>NC_000002.12:20237028-20388543 GCF_000001405.40 Homo sapiens
TACTTTCATCTAGCAATGTGGAGTTAGGGTTCCTCCAGGTCTTTTCACGGCTTGATAGCACATTCCTTTTTCTTGCTGAACAATATTGTGTTGTATGGATGTACCAGTTCATCTATTTCTGAAGGATATCTTGGTTTGTTCTGAATGTTTAGCAATGATGAATAAAGCTGACATAAACATTCATACGCAGTTTTTTTTATGGACAAAGTTTTCAACTCATTTGGGGAAATACAGTATTTGTCTTTTTGTGGCTGGCTTATTTCATTTAGTGCAGTGTCCTCAACTTTCCTCCATGCTGTGGCATGTACCCTTTCTTTTCAAGGCTGATAAAAATTTCATTGTATATAAACACACACCACTAGCTATTGACTGTTTTAATATGAGCCTGCTTTCAATTCCTTTGGAGGTATTTCAAGAAGTGGGATTGCTGAATCACAAGGTAATTCTATTTTTAATTTTTCAAAGACGCACCATACTGTTTTTTCCACAGAGGCTTCACCAACACTTGTTATTTCCTTGTTCTTTTTTTTTTCTTTTAGTAGCTGTCTCAATGGGTGTGAAATGATATCTCATTGCAGTTTTGACTTGCATTTCCGTGATGATGACTGATGACATTGAGCATCTTTTCACATTCTTCTTGGCCATTTATATATCATCTTTGGAGAAATGTCTATTTAAGTCCTTTGTCCATTTTAAAATCACGTTGTTTTTTGTTGTTGTTGAGTTGTAGGTGTCTATGTATTCTGAATATTAACCCTTTATTATTTACATATTTGCAAATATTTTCTCCCAGTCTGTAGATTGCCTTTCCACTTTGTTGATTGTTTCCTTTGGTGCACAGACATTTTAAAGTTTGATGTAGTCTCATTTATTTAGTTTTGCTTTTGCATGTGTTTTTGCTGTCATAGCCAAATCACTGCCAAATCCAACATCACGAAGCTTTCCCCCTACATTTTCTTATAGGGTTTCACAGTTTTCGGTCTTACGTTTAGATCTTCATCCATTTTTAGTTAGTTTTGTATATGATGTAAGGTAAGGGACCAACTTTTGCATCACTTGTTGCAACGACTGTTGTTTCCTCATTGGACGGTCTTGGCACCCTTGTGGAAGATCACTTGACCATATATGCGAGGGTTTCTCCCTGGTCTGTCTATTCTCTTCCTTCGGTCTGTATGTCTGTCTTTATGCCAGTGCCACACTGTTTGGATTACTGTAGCTTTCTAATAAGTTTTGAAATCAGGAAACGTGATACCTCTGGTTTTGTTTGTTTGTTTCCTACTTCCTTAATTTCTTTAATGGTATTGATATAGTCAAGTTTCCCACTCCTCTTGAATCAATTTTGGAACTATATATTTCCCTAGAAAATTATTTATTTTGGGCTGGGTGCAGAGGCTTACACCTGTAAATCCCAGCACTTTGAAAGGCTGAGGCAGGAGGATCGCTTGAGCTCAGAGGTTTGAGACCACCCTGGGCAATGTGGCGAAAACTCATCTCTATAAAAAAATACTAAAAATTAGCTGGGTGTGGTGGAGCACACCTGTGGTCCTAGCTACTTGGGAGGCTGAGGTGGGAGGATAACTTGAGCCTGGGAGGCTGAGTTTGCAGTGAACTGTGATGGTGATCATACTACTGCACTCCAGCTTGGGTGACAGAGTGAGACTCTGTCTCAAAAAAAAAAGGAAAGAAAATTATTTATTTCATTTAATTTTTAGTTTGTAAGTAGACTTTTAATATAAATTCTCTTATAATTAAAAATCACAATTTTATATCTTCTTACTGTTTGTGTCTTTCATCTTTTTTGCTAAATTCAAATTTTCCAAAAGCATGTCTAATTCATTATTTTTAACTGGTCAAGTTTTTGTGAGTGTGTGTGTGAGTTTGTTATTAATTCCGTCCTTCCGCTTTCTTTGTAATTTTTTTTGGTCTTATTTTACTAGCTTCTTGAGTTCATTTATCTTCAGATTTTCTTGACTAAACATTTTCTTTAAATAACGTTTGGCCTGAATCCCCAGGTTTTTATATATGTCTGTCATTGCTATTAATTTGGAAATTAACCCATAATAGTTTGTTCTAGATTAGATTAGCTCTTTAAATGAGGAGTTACTAAGAAGAGTATTTTAAAAAATTTCTAGAGTAGGCATGGTGGCTCATGCCTGTAATCCCAATACTCTGGGAGGCCTAGGTGGGAGGATTGTTTGAGGCCAGGAATTCAAGGACAGCCTGGAAACATAGCGAGACCTTGTCTCAAATAAATTTTTTTCTAAGATATATTTCTAGTAACAAATATATTTATATTTTGAAGATACATGCTTTATTAATAAATATATTTCTGTTTCTAAGATCGTTTTGCCCTCCCTTTCTAATTAAATTGCATTCTATTCAGTGAATGTGTCCTGTATGATTTCAGCTTCTTGGGTTTATTAGGCTCTTCATTATGGCCTAATAAATACAAAGAAAAATATTTGGAATTTGCATACTCAACAGTTAACAACGATTAACTCTTGGGAGGGGAATGAAATTGAAAGGCAGAGACAATGAGGAGAAGCTTTTTGTTTGTTTTTATTTTGTTTGCTTTTGATTGTTGGGAAGTTTTTATACTATAAGAATTCGCTCAAGTATAATGGTTTTCTTTTTCTTTTTTTTTTTGCACATAGATGACCAGCCTACCAGGTCTTTTATGCAGTTCGACATACAAGGTGACAGCAAGGTAAGACTAACGAAGTGCCAGTTTTGGTGCCTCCATCTCCCTCCCCTGGATCCTGATCCAGTGACTGCCAAAACCAGAAGGAACTGGGGTAGGGTGCTTGATCATGGGGAAGGCTGCTGTGGTTCGCCCGGTAGATGGGAAAAGGAAAAGGTTGCACTTCTTCACAATTTGAATGACATCCTTGTCCTCCAACGTATGGTCTTTACCCACTTTTTGAGGATTGTGTTTCACAGAGAGACCCCAGACCAGAGCATATTTAAATTCTTTGATAAGATTTTTGTGAATCTTCATGCAGAAATCTCCACTGTGGTCCTGGAGTAAGGAAGTACCACTGAGGATGTGTAACCTGGTAATTGCCTTTGGGTTTGGTGCAAATTCTCACTAGTTTCAGATAGTCCCAGATCTTTTCCAATAGGTCATCAAAATTCCAGTGGTGATGGGCAGAGATGGGTACACCGTGAGGCACCTTATAGTGCTATCCAATTCCTCAATGGAGATTTGGTCAATCTTATTTAACATAAGATAACATTTGGTCAATCTTATTTAACATAACATTTGGTCAATCTTATTTAACATAGATACAGGGGATATAAACTCTGTTTCCTTCCACCACATCAATGAGGTCATCAGCTGTAGCATCACTACGTAGAGTCACATCGGCATTATGAATCTTGTATTCAGCCAGAATGCTCTTCACAGTTTCAGCATCCAGCTCACTCTGTGGGCAAGTGGCTGTGAGATGAATGCCTCCCTTGTCCTTCTTCTTAAAGCCATTGTTGGGGGGCGGTGGTTGCTGTTCAAGTGAATGCCAAAGACTTCCAGCTCATTTTCAATTATCTTCTTATGTCCCAAAGGTTTCAGGACATCCAGAACAATCAGGATCAAGTTACAGGTTCGGGCCACTGCAATGATCGACGACCTCTACCTTTCCCATCCCTGGCACCTTCAATAATACCTGGGAGATCCAGGAGCTGGATTTTGGCACCTTTGTATCTGATGACACCAGGCACAGTGCTCAGAGTAGTGAATTCATAGGCTGCCACCTCAGAATATACCCCTGCCAGGTTACTAAGCAGTGTCGACTTCCCCACAAATGGAAAACCAACAAATCCAATTCAAGCATCACCTGTCTCGGCCACATCAAAACCTTCTTCTGCACCTCCACCACCACCACCACCCTTTGGAGTAGTGAGTTCTCGACGAAGCTTAGCAAGACGAGCCTTAAGCAGCCCCAGGTGGTGTGCTGTGGCCTTGTTGAGTCCAAGCCATCTCCTCTTCTGTCTCCGCGATCTTAGCTAGGGTGCTGCTCATCGTGGCGAGTACCCTGTGGCCTCCACACTGACTGTCTCCCTTCACACACCCGCGGGCAAACTAGCTCAAGTATAATGCTTTTCAAAAGTAACTCAATGAACTTGGGAGTGTAGGCCTCGGTACAGTGGCCCACAGACCCCTGAGAGCACCATTGTGTGACAGCTCTTCACCGAGAGACACCGCCTTTAAAAACGCGTTTAGGGCCGGGCGTGGTGGCTCATGCCTGTAATCCCAGCACTTTGGGAGGCTGAGGCGGGCAGATCACGAGGCCAGGAGTTTGGGACCAGCCTGACCAACATGGTGAAACCCCGTCTCTACTAAAAATACAAAAATTAGCCAGGCATGGTGGCGTGCGGGTGTAATCCCAGCTACTCGGGAGGGTGAAGCAGGAGAATCGCTTGAACCCTGGAGGCGGAGGTTGCAGTGAGCCGAGATTGCGCCACTGTACTCCAGCCTGGGCAACAGAGCGAGACTCCATCTCAAAAACAACAACAACAACAAACAAAAAACAAAACAGAAAAACGCGCTTACTTCCTACTGGCTTTACAGTGGTGAGCATTACCTAAGCACCTAACTTCAGGCTTTGGGGTAAAGAGAGAGAAACACACAGTCTGGCCTTCCAACAACTCACAGTGTGGGTGGAGAAACGTAAGAAAACAAGCCATTGCAATAATTTGCCATCACCGCCATCATGACCTTGTGCCTGGAGGAGCTGTCCCTGGAATCTGTCTAGGGAAGCTCCAGGGCTGGCTCCAGGAGACGAGGAGGAACTGGCTGGCCAGAGACAGGGGCAGTAGGGTTGTCAGATTTAGCAAATAAAAACAGAATGCCCAGTTAAATTTGAATTTCAGATGAACATTTTTTTTTAGTATAAAATGTATAATTATGTCCTATGCAATGTTTGGGATTTATTTATACGAAAAAATTTAGTCGCCCCACCTGTGGCTTTAGGGCCGACTTGTTCAGGAAGGGAAGAGGAAGAGCACAAGAAGGTTTGGTGCAAGAAGATGGGTTCGGTTCCGGACATGTTTGGCGAAACGGGGCCAGTGGCCACGTGACTGGAGATGTGCGATTCCAGGCTGCAGGATGTCAGGGCTCGGGCTTTAGGGGCGAGGCCTGGGGTCCGCGGTGGTAGGATGTTATGGGAAGTGCCCTGTGATGAGGCTGCAGGCGGTCGTACATGGCAGTTGAGTGGGATGGGTAGAGTTCTTTCCTTGTTCGAGAAGGCAGGGTGTGTCTGAGCAATCCTGTTTAGAAAGATCAACTCCAAGTAATTTAGACGAAGAAACTTCTGGAGCTGGACGGATCCCCCAGGGTGCGCCGCGCCTGGACTGGGAAGGGCCCCCGGACCCGCGGCGCAGGGGAGGGCCGGGCCGCCAGGGGGCGCTCTCGGCGGACGGGGCGGGGGTCCCCCTTGGTGTCTCCCAGGCAGCTTCGCAACAGCCCTGCTGGATTAGGCCCCAATGAGCAAACTGAAGCCCGGGTGGGGAAAGGGCGGGGGGGGGGGGGCTTGAGGGCGTCACCCAGGCGGGTCAGTTGCTTTTTTAAAAAAAATTATTTTTATTTTTTTTATAGGGAAGGCAGGGGCATCTCGCCATGTTTCCCAGGCTGGCCTCGAACTCCTGGACTCAAGCGAGCCTCCGCCTCGGCCTTCCAAAGTGCTGGGATCACCACCGCGCACAGCCACTTTTGCAGCTTTCTAAGGCCGCCCCCAGGCCCTTGCCACCCTGCTGCGTGAGCCAGGCTTGGGCCTGTGGGGAGGGCTCTAGGTCACCTGGTGGCTGCCGTTGTGTCTACAGCTGCCTCTTCCTGTGACAAAGCTGACTCTTTGTCTTCCAGGTCCCTTCTCTAGTTTTCTACCCTACTGTAGAAGAGGGTGGGTAATGGAATATAGATGAAGCTGTCACCCTTCCAAACTCTGGGGGGTGACCCCCTCCCTCCTCTGCTCACAGGTGCCTTCCAAGCCCAGACTCCAGTGCTCAAACCAGAACTGACTTTTGAAGGAGCAGGGCAGAAGAGGACTCCCAGACACCCCTCCTCTTCTCCAGGGCGAGCCCATACACGTGCTTTTGTCCTCATCCCTGCCATAGGAAGGGGCCCACCAGGTGTGACCCGGCTTTCCAAGGCTTCTGGCCATAAAAGGCCAGGGGTGGGAATAAAGCAAGAAAGAGATGAGACTCCGCCCATGTCTCGGGGAGCCCCTCAGCTCTGTAACTGGCACTGCTACCTCCCCTGCCTCCAGTCCCTCTCTACTGCTGCTCTGCCAGCCTGTGCTGGGTCCTCCACACCACCGCACTTGTCACTCACCTGCTCAAGAATCTGTGATGACCCCTATTGTTAACTGAAGCATTGCTTGTATCAAGAATCTCATTCTGTTTCTCCCTCCACTGGGGTGTGCACCTCTTGAGGGCTGTATCCTCAGCATCAAGAATACTTGACACAGGCCGGGCACGGTGGCTCATGCCTGTAATCTCAGCACTTTGGGAGGCCAAGGTGGGCGGATCACTTGAGGTCAGGAGTTCAAGACCAGCCTGGCCAACATGGTGAAACCCCGTCTCTACTAAAAATACAAAAATTAGGCTTAGGTGGGCATGGTGGGCCACGCCTATAATCCCAGCTACTTGGGAGGCTGAGGCAGCAGAATCGCTTGAACCTGGGAGGTGGAGGTTGCAGTGAGCCGAGATTGTGCCACTGCACTCTGCACTCTAGCCTGGGTGACAGAGCAAGACTCTATCTCAAAACAAACAAAAAATGAAACCTGACGCAAAGTAGTTGCTCAATAAATAAGACTATGAAAATGCACTGGCTGCTGCACCCACCTTGCTCTCAATCCCCCAAAGCCATCCCCTCATCCTCTTCATTTTACCTTTCCCTTCCAAGCCCAAGGCACTGATTAGTTTTGAAATCTTGATTCCTGTCTAGATTTAAAGGCTTTGAGTTAGGAATTACTTTTTTTCCCTCCCGCCTAGGACCTCATGCCTTCTCAAAAAATAGGTAAGACCAGCCAGACACAGTGGCTCATGCCTGTGATCTCAGCACTCTGGGATGCTGAGGCAGGAGGATCACTTGAGTCCAGGAGTTTGAGACCAATTCAGGCAACATGACAAGACTCTTGTCTTTACCAAGAAATTTAAAAATGAGCTGGGCACGGTGGTGCATACCTATTGTCCCAGCTACTCAGGAGGCTGAGGTGGGAAGATCGCTTGAGCCTGGGAGGTTGAGGCTGCAGTGAGCTGTGATCATGCCAGCGCACTACAGCCTGGACGACAGAGTGAGACCCTGTCTCAAAAAACAAAACAATACAAAAGATAAGACTGAATGTTCTCCATATGGTCCTATTTGGTCATGGAATGATTTGTGGTGGATTTTCCTCCACTCTTCAGCATTCCTTCCATAACCTGTTTCTGGCCATGAGCTACATGCTGTTTACACAAAAAAGATATGATCCTGAACTGGGTGGAAGGCTTCTGCTCAACTGCATGGGCACCAAAATGTGTGCTGAGGGAAATCACACATGATCTTCTCAAGCAGCTTTTGACTTCCCTCAGGATCCTAGATGACCATGTTCATAAAGAATTATTGGCCAACATCCCATATCTTCTGACTATGAAGGTGAAAACGTGTGCTTTGCGTAGAGTTGGATGAGACCCTTGTTTCTGATTTCTAAATACCTACTGCTTTGAGGAAGCTTCCATCATCCTAACTTCGTTGTCCAGGCAGAGGTTGAGAGGGAAAGGTTTAGAAGGCTAACAGGCAAATCTTTCTCAGTTCAATGGCTTCCTTGCTATAAGCCAAGTTGGCAGAGCTTTATTAAGGAGTGTCACTGTGGCTTCCTTCAAACTTGATGCATCAGTTGGATGGACCCTTATGGAGGGCTCTTCCTCACTTGGCTACAACTGTGGCTCAACTCTCAAACAAAGCAGACATTTAGAAATAATTTGACGTAACTATTTATTTATTTATTTATTTTGAGATGGAGTCTCACTCTGTTGCCCAGGCTGGAGTGCAGTGGTGTGATCTTGGCTCACTGCAACCTCCGCCTCCCGGGTTCAAGTGATTCTCCTGCCTCAGCTTCCTGAGTAGTTGGGATTACAGGCGCCTGCCACCTTGCCCAGCTGATTTTTGTATTTCTTTTCTGAGATGGAGTTTCACTCTTGTTGCCCAGGTTGCAGTGCAATGGCTCGATCTCAGCCCACCACAACCTCCATCTCCCGGGTTTAAGTGAGTCTCCTGCCTCAGCCTCCTGAGTAGCTGGGACAGGCATGCACCACCATGGCTGGCTATTTTTTTGTGTGTTTTTAGTAGAGACAGGATTTCTCCATGTTGGTCAGGTTGGTCTCAAACTCCCGACCTCAGGTGATCCGCCTGCCTTGGCCTCCCAAAGTGCTGGGATTACAGGTGTGAGCCACCATGCTCAGCCTAATTTTTGTATTTTTAATAAAGATGGGGTTTCATCATGTTGGCCAGGCTGATCTCGAACTCCTGACCCCAGGTGATCTGCCCACCTCAGCCTCCCAAAGTGCTGGGATTACAGGTGTGAGCCACTGCGCCCGGCCTGGAGGTAGCTCTTTAAATCAAACACTCAGCAAAGAATTGACTGATTTGCAGGCCTGTTCTTTTACTGAAGCATAACCATAGCATCAAGAGGCTTCCAAACTGGTGAAAATCATGCAAGGGATGGGGTAAGAAATGGCAGAGATCAGTTGATGGTCCCGAGCTACTCTGACCTCCACAAAACTTCAGCAGCTTCTGGGTCTCTAATATGCTTTTGTGTGTGTTTGTGAGAGATATACCAAGATTTCCCATCACAATGTCTTTGATTTCCTTGCTCTTCTCTCCATCCTGGCAGCTTGTATACACCAGGGCAAATCTACACATGACTTAATGATTTATCTGCAATTTGAATCAAGAGTTTTGCTCATTTGCAGAAACATAAATGATCTCCAAACCATGTTTTGAGGCTGCATGTAACCGAATTTTAAAAATGAAAACTTATTTTAACCAAGTGATGCGCACGAGTTGCTTTAGTAGCTAACGTGTACCGAGTACTTGCCATGGCGCTTCAGGTCTATTCTCTTTAATCCTTACAATCTCAGCAGGTCACCATTTCCTTGACTTACACAAAGAAACTAAGGCTTAAAAGATGAAACCACTTACCTACTAGATATGAAGCTAGTGTTTGGCACCTGGGCAGTCTAATTCTAGAGCCCAAACTCTGAATCATTACTTTCTGATGCCCAAGAAAGTTTGAATCAATCTTTCTGTTGATCTTTCTGTTGTTGGGTTTTCCGGTAAAAACTGGAAAACCTGCTAGACAAATTCTAAAAGAGCACTGACATTTGAATACATTTTAATCCAGCCAATTGCTTTCCCTTAAACTACCAAATACAAGACTATTTCACCTGGTTTTAATTCTTGGTAAATATATTTTTTAAAAGTTCTATGGCACTTCCGCCTCCGCTGAGGTGGTGCCAGAGCCACAGTCATGAGTTGCTTCAAGTTTATCGGTAAAAGGAGCGTTTTCCCAACTCACTGGGTCGTTCTGATCGGTCCAGGGTGTTGCTCACCAAGGCCACAGGGCCCAGAACTTGAGCTCTCCGGCTTTGTAAGGGTTGAAAGGGCCACTCAGTGGAAGAGGGTGCAGGAAGGTTTCTGGGTGCTGGTAATGTTCTGGTTCTTGATCTAAATCCTGGATTCATGAGTATTTATTTGTGAAAATTAACAAGCCGTACAGTTATGATTTTTTTGTGCTCTTTCAAAAAAAAAAGTTCTGTGTATGGAACATAGCAGAAACTGGAGAAACTGCCTACAGGAGCTATCTTGGGCTGTCTTGTCCTATATTGGCTTAAGAGTTGGCTGGGCCTGGTGGCTCATGCCTGTAATCCCAGCACTTTGGGAGGCCGAGGCAGGTGGATTGCTTGAGCAGGAGTTTGAGATCAGCCTGGACGACATACAGACCCCATCTCTACAAAAAATACAAAAAGTAGCCAGGCATTGTAGCATGAGCCTGTGGTCCCAGCTACTTCGGAGGCTGAGATGGGAAACTTGCTTGAACCTGGGAGGTTGAGGCTGCAGTGAGCAGTGATGGCACCACTGCACTCCAGCCTAGGTGAGAGCCAGATCTTGTCAAAAAATAAAAATAAAAACAACAAACATACTCCTCAGCCACAAGGTTCTGTGGGAAAGTCAGGATAGGACCCTACAAGTAACAAAGGTCCAGTCCAGTCCTGGCCCCACTCCCCTCTGCAGCGCAGTGCTTAGAACAGCCTCCTAGGGGTGAGCCCTGAAGCCTCAGCACTCTTTTCCTGCTCAGCTCCCTGTTCATAGACACATTTTCTAATTTCTACCAGGCAATTCTACCAGGCATGTTAAGCTAGGTACTTTTAAGTGAGGTAGGGAAGGTGGACAATGAATATGGCTCCTTTAGGGGTTTCTTTGTCCTCTGCTGCTTTAAAATCTTCCAGAGAAAGTGTCATCGAGGGCATCTAGTCCCAGGTGAATTTAGGAAACTGCTTTCCTTAGGTTGGTAAGCCAGGGTGCGAAGATGTGGTATTTCCTTGTTAAGACCTTTTAAATTTCAATACAATGTGAGGTAGTATGTCAATAATCCAAGAGGGTTGCTCAGAAGAGACCCAAACCAAGACAAAATTAAATTTCAGGAAATACAATGTGTATGGTGACATTTCTTTTTCCCACTTAGCTTTATGCAGGTTTCCATTTTGGAGTCTATCAAATTGTTCTGGCTTTTTTTCTTTTTATAGCTGTAGAAAGAATGGGAAAAACAGAAATGGTATTAACAAGCGATTCATTAAGAATTAGGTTCCAGGCCGGGTGTGGTGGTTCACGCCAATAATCCCAGCACTTTCGGAGGCCACGGCGGGCAGATTACGAGGTCAGGAGCTCGAGACCAGCCTGGCCAACATGGTGAAACTCCATCTCTACTAAAAATACAAGTTATCAGCCGGGTGTGGTGGTGTGCACCTGTAGTCCCAGCCACTCGGGAGGCTGAGGCAGAAGAATCACTTGAAGCTGGGAGGTAGAGGTTGCAGTGAGCTGAGATGGCGCCATCACACTCCAGCCTGGGCGACAATGCGAGACTCTGTGTCAAAAAAAAAAAAAAAAAAAAAAAATTAGGTTCTTGGCCAGGCATAGTGGCTCATGCCTGTAATCCCAGCACTTTGGGAGGCCAAAGTAAAAAGACCACTTGAGGCCAGAAGTTCAAGACCAACCTGACCAACAAGGCAAGAATCCATCTCTTAAAAAGAAAAAAATAGGTTCTAACTATCTTTTTGTATATTCTCCACTGTTAAAACTAATGAGTTAAGTAGTATTATCCCTTGATACAGACTAAGGGCTCAAGGTTTAGAAAAGTTCACAAGGTGTGTAAATAAGGTAAACTTTAAATCCACATCTGAACTTAAATTGTTTACCTTTAGACAACACTGCCTCCTCGAGTTCATGTGAAAACGGGCTAAAAGTTTTATCCTATGAAGTATGCAGTTATAGGTCCTAAATACTAATCAAAGCATGGAATTAATACCATCAGAGGAATCAGTGGCTCCAGAACAGCACCCATGTGTTAAAAATGTTTGTTTTCTTTACGTCGGAGTAAACCTGAATGGGCAATCAATCTTAAGTTATAACTGAGGTACAGAGGGGTATTTTATCTAGAGAAAAACACAAGACCAGGTTTATTTCATACAATGTTATTCACACATTTTTCATTTTCTAATTTATACATAATATACAAAGAAGTGAAGTTAACATTATTTCATATGAACCAATAAGAGCCAGGACTTAGACAAACTGGTCCAGAAACAATCCCTATCAAAAGGAGACACTCAAGAGTAAAGCCTAGGTAGTTTTGCCCAATTGTTTTATTCTGAAATGTGATTTTCAGATTTTACCAAAATTTCATGCCAACTTACTAAAAGGTAAAAATTGGGGTGGGCACCCAAAATGGCAGACTGTAAAATTTCTACAAGAACAGGTACTTTTGTAGAGCAGGCCTGAAAGTATTGGGAAGATTGGGTTGTCAGCACTGGGACAAATGGGAATGAGTATCAGGACCCCAAGAAGAGGGTTTAGTTTCTCAATGTAGTATTCTCTACTTGTCATTTTCTAAAATTGCAGAGATAATGCCTGTGCCAACAGAGGGCAAGGATGAAGGAAGACTAGGAATTCAACTGTACAAAGACAGGAAAGCCATTACCAATCTCCAACATGACAGCTTTGATCCTGAAACCATGGGCTGATACTGAGAACAAAAGTTCGATACGGGCCGAAATACTCTGAGGTTGGTAAAGTAGGAAAAAGTGAGACAGCGGCTTTGTGTGGGTTTTAAAAAAATGAAACAAACACAAGGCGTTGCTGCAGTGACTGGGACATGCTGATGACCCAGAGTGACTATGAGAAGGAACGGTGACAAGTGTTTGGATTTAATGGTCTCACCAAGGAATGTTGGGTTAGAAAAGTAAAATAACTCAACACCAAACATGAAAAAGTATGCCTGGCATCCCCAAACTTTATGCCATTATTTTTAGGTTCATAATATGAACAACTAAGTGATAAAACCTTTAGATTCCATATTGTGCTCAGAAGATTGCGTTTCTTCTGCAGATCTCTAGTAAAAAAAGATCTCTTCCATATTCAGCTGACAGAATAGCATGTTCATTTTAGTTTTCAGCACTGAACATAAGTGGGTCAACATAAATGTTTATACAAAATACTGACTTCAACAAAATACAAAGCACTTTCTTTATCTTTCAGAAACTGAATATACACAGCAAGTTTTTTTCCAAAATATTTTCATAGGCAAAGGATTAAAAACGATTTTAATTATACACATATGGTCACAATTTTGCCTTAAAAAGATTGTTGGGAAATGTACATAAGGCCGCTTGTAAATGTACATCGTGTTACTGTTATGTCTTATGTCCAGAGGAAAAAATGTTATCATACAGATTTGCTCTTACTTGGGAGTAGGCTATTCAAAAATACAGTACTCTTCTGTACAAAGAAAAAAGTCACATCACATTTAATAAGATGAAAAAAGCATTGGCCTCCATGGTAACCAAATATCTCAGTCCAATACTTTCTATTATGCACAATACCCTGACTTCAATTGAAAGTGATCCAAATTCTAGCAGGTCCATATTAACAGTCAACAACTATGTTATAAAACAAAATGATCTCACAATAATAAAAAGAAAGCTGGTTCATACTTCTGAAACCATATAAAGATAAAAAATTTTTAAAAAATCACTCTCGATTTGGAGAAATAAATTTACATTATACAACACTATATTGCCAGGTCAAAGAGGGCAGGGACGTAAATGTACACTAAAATGCAAATGTATCCCAAAGAGATAAAACAAATTCCATTTACAGCATGAAGGTTTACAAATGTACACCTGTACAACCAAGGAAAGCATCACTACTAAATTAGCAAGGCTTTTATAATAAACATTGAAACAAGATTTCCTTTCAAAGTGTAAACTTACATCTATTACTACACACACAATGCATATATTTATAGAAAGCAAAAAGAGCTATCTGAATATGTAATCATGCTTAAATGCTGAGCTATCAAATTCACTTTTCAGTGGCCCCTTTTCATCTCTATCTGGTTCCTACTTTCTGCCTCTATGAAAAAGCAAAATAAAGCTCAACACTTCCTCAACATGTCTGTAATTCTATAAGCAAAACAAAATACAAATTTCCACTCTTTCTCATTGCAAACCAAACTGAAAAGTTAATAAGTGACTTAACTTTTCATTTAGTGCACTTAATTGGAAGTGTCACCATGATTTTGTATTTAACTCTTACAACAATTACATATGTAAGTATATACAATATTTCTGTACATTGCCAGAGACATTTTAGGGCAGTAATTGTATTAAAACCACATCTACTGTAAATAATGTTAGGTTCTTTTCATCTCAAACCACTTTATTCTTGTCTACTTACTCGTTATTTGCATGATAGTTTGTGAATTATCAAAATACAACTTAACTCTTTTTAAAATATTAATAATATTTATGCAGTTGATTGTTAATCTGTTATAAAAGGTTTCACGCAAAGGAAAAAAATAAGGACTATAATTCTATATACATCTCTATAAACCTGTTGTGCTATGGGGTTGTAGACCTACCAGACTGTGAGCCAGTTTATTAAAAGAATACTGTACTTTTTCCTTTAAAAACTATTTTTGTGACTTTACAAGGTAAAAATTTACAAAATATGTGACAGCTTTTTATTTTTGATACAGTTACATCATATACAGGCATTCTGTGCTTTGCCAGCAATCCAATCTGATAGGTCTCCACTCAGGGCTGAATATAATTTATAATTCATCCCCCACCCCCCAAATATACACAAGAACCTTAAAAAATTTACAAATGGATGAATAAAGTCAATAAATAGTTTTGCTTTAAAAAAAAATTGAAGATTCATAGTTGAGTTGTGTTTTGATAATTCACACACAAAAAAATTCTTTTCACATGGTTAAATTATCTTCTTTCTCTTGCTCCTGTAATTTACAGCATTCCATTTGGTGGTCCTCCAATAGGTCCTAGGTCCGGGCTATTCTTCAAATAATACTTTTCCAACTTGGCCAGTATATGCTTCCCGTATGTGTATTTGCGCAAAGTAGTAATGTGAGGTCGAATCTGAAAAACAAATAATCTGCTTAGAAAATCTAAGTCATTTTAGTTTCTGATTTCTTAAAAAAGCACCCCCAATTCTGGGTAATTTAGAGGAATAACTGCAATTAAAAAAAATTTAAATCCAAAGAAAGCTACTTTTTGCAAAAGCAGTTGTGATCTGCTCAATCCCTCCAAACATCTGTTCTCGAAATTGTTCAATGAATAAAACACTACATCTAACTATGTCACGTGGAAACAGGCAGAGGCCCCAAACATAGCAAGAAAGTTACCCAGTAATTCCACATCCAGGAATTTATTCCACCAAAAAAATTACAAAAAGACTTTTGTACAAAGCACTACTTATAACAATTAAACAATTAGGGAGGATCCAAATATAATAAATATGATACCAGTTAAATAACTAACGCAGCTGTTAAAAATAAGATTGCAATTTTTTATATTCATTAGTTTACAGCAGAAACACTCAATTAAAAGATAGGTAGACACTTAGAGGCCAGTACTTTGGGACCAGACTGGGCAACATAGCGAGACCGCATCTCTACAAAATATAAACAAAACTAAAAGCATGCATGCCTGTAGTCTCAGCTACTAAGGAGACTAAAGTGGGAGGATGGCTTGAGCCAGGAAGTTGAGGCTAGAGTTAGCCGAGATTACACCACTGCACTCCAGCCTGTGCAACAGAGACCCTGTCTTGAAAGAAAAAGAAAGGAAAACTTACATCAAGTTGAAGAATGAATTTTAAAAATCAGAAGACCAAAACACTTTTACAGATGGAAGGAATCCTAAGATATCATTTTTCTCTCTATATGAGGAGACGACCAAAGGGGTTATGTAATTCATGTTTTGTAAATGAATTCATTAAGATCAAGAGTATTCAAAATAAGTGTTTTTTTCAGTGTTCTTTCAGTTTTCTTTATAAGTTTTCCTGCTGCAATTACTAATTTCTTAAAGAATTATTAGATTCTAGGAGGAGGATACAGAGAGGAAACAGCTTAAAGGGAATTTTATGAGTTAGTACTACCTCCCCACAACATAAACACAAAATTCTACTTAGAAAAATGTATTAGGTTAAAATCAATGTTCAACCCATGTATTATGGTAAATTAAATGTAGTTTGCCATCTGCATATGTGGATTCAACCACTGATCAAAAATATTTTTAAAAATGACAAAGTCTGTATTAAACAGATTTTTTACTTATCATTACAGTATGACTATTTACATAGCACTTACACTGTATTAGGTATCGTTAAGTAATCTTGAGATGAGTATATGGGAGGATATGTTTAGGTTATATGCAAATACTATACGCTATTTTATATAAGGGACTTGAGCATCCGTGAATTTTGGCACAGGAGTGGGTGGGTCCTGCAACCAATCCCCCAGTTACTGACGGGCAACTGTACAGTTAAATAAGATGAAGGCAAAAAGAACAATGTAAAACATAGGTAACAGATGAGAAATGAATATGATTCCTTAAGAATTTCTTTTGAATGACTGATTTATTTTTTGAGACAGGGTCTTGCTCTGTTGCCCAGACTGGAGTGCACTGGCATGAACACAGCCCACTGTAGCCTCAACCTCCGGGACTCAGGCGATCCTCCCATCTCAGCTGCCTGAGTAGCTGGGACCACAGGCATGTATCGTCATACCCAGCTAATTTTTAAATTTTTTGTAGAGATGGGGGTCTATGTTGTCCAGACTGGTCTTGAACTCCTGGGCTCAAGTGGTCTCCCACCACAGCCTCCCAAGTAGCTGGGACTAAAGGGTTGCACCATGATGCTTGTCTAATTGTTTTTCTTTTTTTTTTTTTGTAGAGGGAGGGTCTTGCCACATTGCTCAGGCTGGTCTCAAACTCCTGGGCTCAAGTGATCTTGTCACCTCAGCCTCCCAATCTGCTGGAATTATGGGCAAAAGCCCCCATGCCTGGCCATGATAACCTTAAGCATAAAAATGGAAACCATACCAATATATCTGCCAAAGGATATCCATCGATTTTAATTTTTCCTCCAGTTATAACATACGGGAGGAAATGAAAGCCCAAGGAGGTTAAATGTGTAGCCTAAACACAAAGACAAACAGTTATCTGAGTGTTACATGCTGTATTACCTTGTGCATGATTATCTTTCTCTGAGCAGGTTCAGCCATATCAATCATCTTTTGAACCACGTAATTGGCATACTGGTCCTTCATCATGGTGTATAAGGCACTGTGAGGACCATCATTCTGGCAGCAAACCTCGTCAATCAGTAAAGCTCTCTCAGCACGGGAGGCATGAGTAACACACTTTTCTACTACATTGCTAAAAATTAAAGCAGATAAACAAAGATTTGTTATTTTTTTCTTCACAGCAAAATTTCCTTGACTTATAGAAAGAATCTTCTCCAATGAACAATAAAACAGAAGTCAGGATGGGATTCTCTTGTCT
This sequence comes from Homo sapiens, assembly GCF_000001405.40. Taxonomy (NCBI): domain Eukaryota; kingdom Metazoa; phylum Chordata; class Mammalia; order Primates; family Hominidae; genus Homo; species Homo sapiens. The sequence continues at coordinate 20,254,141 of NC_000002.12, forward strand.
TATGATTACTTTTATTTTATTTTGTTCTTTTTTTTTTTGAGACAGGGTCTTGTTCTGTCACCCGGGCTGGAGTGCAGTGATGCTATCACCGCTCACTGCAGCCTTGACCTCCCTTGCTGAAGTGATTCTCCCACCTCAGCCTCCCCCATAGCTGAGACTACAGGCATGCGCCACCACGCCTGGATAATTTTTTGTAGAGAAAGGATCTCCCTCTATGTTGTCCAGGCTGATCTCGAATTCCTGGGCTCGACTGATCCTCCTGCCTTGATCTCCCAAAGTGCTGGCTGGGATTACACGTGTGAGACACTGTACCCAGCCAATTACTTTTATAACAGAAATTGGTATCTTGGAACAACCTACATCATTTTGACATCCACAAGTTTAATTACAGGTCTCTTAAAATTGTACTTCAAAAAAAAGGAAACCAGATCATTAAAGCTGTGAGGTTTTCAAGAAACATGTACTAAATAAATCTGCATTTCCAGTGTCGGGAGTAATTATTTTCCAAATACAGATTTCATAAATGAACATATGTGGGCAAAACAAATTTGTTATGTAGATTTTTTTAAAAAACAAAAGCAATGTTCTATAGGTGCATTTTAATGATACCAAAAAAAAAAGACTACAGTTTAATGCTACATGCTACACGTATTTCTGTGATAACTAATAAAAGTCAATGAGTTGAAAGAATTGACCCTTAAAATTACAAAGTATTACAATACCTGGCAAATTTGTGTTGACTCAGGGCTAAAACCTTTCCCCTGATTTCGGAAACAATTTTGCTCTTGTCTTCAGGTCGACCGTGTTCCAGTACATGCTGAATAACATAATTGCCATACTGATCCTAAGACAGATATTTAAAAATTACTTTCCCTAAGTCATTCCTTAAGAATGATATTCTTTAAAGACATGTTAATCATTTCATCTAAAAATCCAGTAGGATAGTTAGGAGAATACAACAGCCTTTTGTCTCACTCTTGTCTATAGTGTGTTTAGTAACAAATTGTATTTCTTTTAAAAATTAAAACAATTTCCAAAAATATATAAACATTTCAAATTATTAGGGAATTTATACCTGTACCAACTGCTCTGTATGTTGGTGGAGTTCTTCTAAGATAGGTAAGGTCTGTTCTGCAGTGCAATGCTCTAGGATGCGCTGAATTACTCTGCAGCCATAAGGATGAGTTGAAAGCACAAATACCTGAGGACAATTAGAAGAATTAAAATTTGTATTCTCTGACATTTTTGAACAGTTCTATGAAGCAGACTGGTTTGTTTTTTTTTTTTTTGACAACACCTAAAAGCAGTTTGAAATAGAAGGGTGATGAACTCACATTTAATATGACTACCACCATGTTAGAAAAGACTGGAGAGTGGGGACAGGGAGCACTCCATTTAGGAGCTGAAGATATTTTGATCAAAAGGAACCTAACCAGAACTTTACCTGAACCTGAGGTTATGTAACAATGGGAATGAATGGGTGAAAAGAGAAAGGGTAGTTCAGCATTAAGAAATATTAATTACTATGTATTAGTTACAAATTGCTATGTGTTTTCTGTCTTATTATACAGTCTTATGTCTTTCTCCAAACCTCCTTCCCTTCTCTGAGTAAACCTGAAAACATCGTTGGGTATAAATAAAAAACAATTCTAACAGTGATTACCTTTACTTCTTAAAGTAATGTGATTAAACTATTTGTTTTGCAGCTTCAGAAAAATGAAGCTATCTACTGACTATGAAAGAGGAAGAAATTAATGTACATTTACTGTTTTGTATCCTATTTTTGTATACAATTGCTGGGTATTATCTAGTGACTCATGAAAAACGTGTTGATATTCAAAATTCTAAAATAATGCCCTGCTAACAAATTATAAGCCAAAACTCAAACATACTTGTCCCTTGAAAGCATCAATGATGAACTGTAGTGACTGTGGCTGAACACATTCGATACATTTTTGTACAACATGGTTTCCATTCTGATCTTTCACACATTTGAGCACATGACCATCCAGCTCCTTTACCATTTCACTCTGCAAAAGACAGGATGTCATTTAAATTATTACCTCAAACGAGAAAATACTAGTATATTTTATCTCAGTATTAAAAATTAAAAATATTAAAAATCTCAGTATATTTATCTCAGTATTAAAAATACTGAGATGGGAACACAAATATATTCACAAATATTATTTCCTGTTTGTCAAGGGTTTAAATTTTTTTCTCTTGTAGTATAATTAGCAGAAACCATTGAAAAGTGAAAATTACTAAAACACACTGCAGGATTATAATGTAAATGATGTATGTTGAAACAACGTAGTGATGCTGAACTTGCTGTATTTAAACTGTCTTCACTGTGTAAATCATCCGCTAATATTTATCGGGCGGTAACTAACATGACTAATTCAGAATTACACACTTCCGCCTTACTTAGTACCACCTCCACCACCAAAGGAATTATTTTTAATGGCTGAGTGAGTTTATCAAGTACATAGAAAAGGCTAAGAAGTTGATGACTACTTATGGGCTATGATTTTTACATATTATCTCAATAATTCCCTAAGGGAAGAATTAATGTCAGGTATCTTTGTTCTTTTATAAAATGCTCTTATAATAAAGTGCTTATAGCCAGATGCGATGGCTCACACCTGTAATCCCAGCACTTTGGGAGCCTGAGGCTGGTGGATCACCTGAGCTCAGGAGTTTTGAGACCAGCCCGGGCGACATGGCTCCGATTACTACCAAAAATACAAAAAACTAGCCAGACGTGGTGGCGCATGTCTGTAATCCCAGCTACTTCGGAGGCTGAGGCAGGAGAATCACTTGAACCTGGGAGGCGGAGGTTGCAGTGAGCCAAGATTGTGCCACTGCACTCCAGCCTGGGCGACACAGCAAGATTCCGTCTCAAAAAAAAAAAAAAAAAAAAAAAAAAAAAAGAAATCCAAATAATATTGTTATTCATTAACTGTTTCAACAAAGACTTACTGCTAATGCTTTTATTTTTAAATATCAAAGACATTTTAAAAATATCTATACCAGTTAGAAACTTGTGGCAGAGAAGTTTCTAAGCTTTTAAATAATTAAATGTGTTTATATTTCTCCATTGTGACACACATTAAAATTACTGTAAAACTCAGAATTTCCTCTGGAGGAATAATAGTATTTTCTCACAGATTTTAATGCAGTGATGAATATATACACATATATAGTCATCCATCCATATATTACTATTTATTGAAATTTTCTTTTATTGTATGAGTCAAAGATAATCTCTTTCCAAACTTAAACTACCATTACCTTTTAAGAAATAATTATTTCCTTCAGTCTTATGCTTTCATTGTAATACATAAATCATGTAGTCAGAAAACAGTATTGATTTGGGGCTATAAATTTCTTATTAAAAGTCTGTTTAATCTTCTATACAATAACCCCACTAATTAGTGTTGCTTCACAGTGTATTTTAAAAATCTGGTGGATCAGCATTTATCTTCATCCCCTACTCTCAATATTCTTGTCTATTTCAAATGATTTTAAGCATTATTTTGATCAACAATTCCTTTATTAATGTGAAATATTTAGACTTTCCATCCAATAACACAGAATATTTCTCATTTAATTTACGTGTTCTTGTTTTTCTCAAAAAATTATAAATTTTTAAAGAGGAATCTTGAGTTACTTTTCTGCTGGGCTATATTTTTAAAAAAAACATTTTCATATATGTAAATAAAACTGACATATAGTAATGCTATTGGTTCCAAAAATTTTCTTCTTATAATAGAAACATTAGACACCATCAAAATAAGCACTGGAAAATAGTAACATGCATTCTCACATTGCAGAAAATCAAGTAAGCAAGTAGTAATAAAAACACTCATCATTTAACATTCTGCTTGCCACATAGGTGCTAAAATATCTTCATTTAGAAATTATCTACTTTGTGACTTCTAATTAGTAGTGTGCTATTTAGGACACAGTAACAACATTTTAGTCTAGTTGTGGAAATATTTAAGTCTTTTCACTTCAAGATTACTGTAAGATTAAAAACATGTAATAATTTAAAAATTGAATAAAATAATACAAAAATTTTGTCTTAACTTACAATTACCTGCTGGTCAGAAGAAATAGATTCTAATGCTTTCTGAATAACGCGGCAGCCATACATCTGCAAGGCTAAGGGTAGAACATGACCACGAATACGAGTAGCCAGGGCTAATTTTTGATCCAGACTCCCAAACTGACAGAAAAGATATAACATTAATAACAAGTGACCTTAATATTGCTTTGTTGAACTTGAGTAAGGCAGTGTTTGCAGTCTATTCATTCTATCAGTAACTATGTAGGGCAGGGGCTTTAAGGTAGAAGCTAATTAAGATAGACTGGGAAATGTTTCCAATAATAATTTTTTATTACTTCTTTGGGTTAAGTCTTACTAAAATTTCCTTGTTACTAATATGTTAACTACCTTTTAAAGAAACACTCTTTTAAAGTGAACATCTTTACAAAACCCTTCATCTTTTTTTTTTTTTTTTTTTTTTTTTGTTGAGACGGAGTCTCGCTCTGTCGCCCAGGCTGGACTGCGGACTGCAGTGGCACAATCTCGGCTCACTGCAAGCTCTGCTTCCCGGGTTCACGCCATTCTCCTGCCTCAGCCTCCCGAGTAGCTGGGACTACAGGCGCCCGCCACCGCGCCCGGCTAATTTTTTGTATTTTTAGTAGAGACGGGGTTTCACCTTGTTAGCCAGGATGGTCTCGATCTCCTGACCTCATGATCCACCCGCCTCGGCCTCCCAAAGTGCTGGGATTACAGGCGTGAGCCACCGCGCCCGGCCAAAACCCTTCATCTTTAATATATAACTTTCTTAGCCATACGTTGACCACCAAAACTCTTCACCCAGATAATCATCAAACTACATTCTGATATGATTGAGGAAAAAACTGTTAAAGTCATTAAGCTACAACACAGATGCTTATAAATTTAAAAATTGGCTAAACTGTAAAATAACACACATCTATAAATCCAAAGACTATAGTGTTATTCATTAACTACTTTACCAAAGATTGACTACCAATGCTTTATATTTTCAAATATGAATCAGGATTAATAGCAAATTTTCATTTAAAGTGGTTCATGTTAAAATTTTTTTTGTGACAAACTGCCATTTGAACCATTTTTAGCTAGGTGATTGAGTAGCATTAATTATATTCACACTGTTGTGCAACCACCATCACTATCACTATTTGTTTCCAAATCTTTTCCGTGGCCTCAAACACAAATGCTGTATCCATTAAATGGTAACTTTCTAAACCCTTCTTCCTCTAGGCCCAGTAACCCCTAATCTACTTTATGCCACTATTAGTTATTCTAGACATTTCATACTGGTAGATCACTATCAATGTTTGTCCTTTTGTGTGTGGCTTGTTTCACTTAAGTTAGTATTTTCAAGGTCCATCCATGTTGTAGTATGTATCAGAACGTCATTCCTTTTTATGGCTGAATAATATTCTATAATGTATACATATACCACTTGTATTTATCTACTCATCTGTTGACGGACACTTGGGCTGTTTCCGCCTTTTGGCTATCGTGAATAATGGTGCAATATATACTGGTGTTCAGGTTCCTGCTTTCAATTCATTTGCTTTCAATTGTACCCCTAGGAGTACAATTGCTGGATTGTGTGGTGATTCAATATTTAATTTTGAGAAACTGCCAAACTGTTTTCCATAGCAGCTACACCATTTTACATTTCCACCAGCAATTTATGAGGGCTCTAATTTCTCCATATCCTCATCCACATTTGTTATTTTCCGATTTTATGTTTTCCGATTACAGTCATCTTAGTAGGTATAAAATGGTATCTCATTGTGAGATTGATCTGCATTTCCCTGATTAGTAAGGATGTTGAGCATCTTTTCATGGCCTATGTGGCCTTTTGTATTATTTTACATAGAGAAATGTCTGTGCAAGTCCTTTGTCCATTTGTCATTTGGGTTGTCTTTTTGTTGTTGACTTTTTAGGAGTTCATTACAATATATCCTGGATAAAATGTTTACCGCATATATAATTTGTAAATATCTTATCCCTGGCTTATTATCTTTTTTTATATGAAAATGACTTTACCCAACTTTCAGAGCTTTTCTTAGCATCAAGTATACAACAGCTGGATGGGCGGATATACAAATATGCATGAATCCTTACCTCAAAAAACTTCTGTATAACATAGTTGCCAAAAACATCAGTCATTAATTGATAGGCTGCTTGCAGAATTTCATTAAATACCATCTGTCGCTCAGCTGGAGTAGCTCTCTCTAGTTTTTGCTGTATGAATCTACATAGGGAACATTTTTAATATGACAATATGTTTTTTAATACACTTGAGTATTACACCCTACCCTTCCACATATATGCACTGCAAGTTATTTCCATAAATATTACCATACTTTATATAGTAGACAGCTAACTTACAGCAAAAAGGACAAAAGTTATATAGCATTTCTTTATAACACCTTATCTAAAGATAGAGTGACAAAAAACCTGGATATAAAGATGTTTAATCTTTCTTAGGTTGGTTACATTATAATCAATAAGAAAATTACGTAAATTTTGCTGCTTATTCATTTATTTTTCATAATATACAATGTATTACTAAACATCTAACTTTTAGAACATAATAAAGGAAACCCTTAGAAGTAAAATTCATCCAACATGAATGAATTCCTAAGCAAGAAAGCCATTCTGGGTGACACAAGGCTCATTTGTTACTCTGAAGGAACTACCAACTACAGTCATGCACTGCTTAACCACATTTCAATTGACAACAAGCCACATATACAATGGTGGTCCCATAAGATTATAATGGAGATAAATTCCTATTGGGTAGGAACTGTCATAACATCATAGTGCAATACGTTACTCAGGTGTTCATGATGACATAAACCTACTGCACTGTCAGTTTATAAAAGTATAGTATGGCCGGGTGCAGTGGCTCACGCATGTAATCTCAGCACTCTGGGAGGCAGAGGTGGGTGGATCACCTGAGGTCAGGAGTTCGAGACCAGCCTGGCCAACATGGTGAAACCCTGTCTCTACCAAAAATATAAAAATTAGTTGGGCACGGTGGCAGACGCCTGTAAGCCCAGCTACTCAGGAGGCTGAGGCAGGAGAATCACTTGAACCCAGGAGGCGGAGGAGGTTGCAGTGAGCCGAGATCATGCCATTGCACTCCAGCCTAAGCGACAGAGTGAGACTCTGTCTCCAAAAAAAAAAAAAAAAAAAAAAAAAAAAGTGTAGTACATATAATTGTGTACGGTATCTGATAATAAACAACTGAGTTACTGGTTTGTGTATTTAGTATACTTTTTATTGTTATTTTAGAGTGTATTCCACTTGTTTAAAAAAAAAAAAAAAAGTAAAACACCCTCAGGTAGATTTCAGAAGGTATTCCAGAAAAAGCACTGTTATCATAGGAGAGGACAGCTCCATAGGTGTTGCTGCTAAAGATCTCCTAGTGGAAGAAGACATGGAGTTAGAACAAAGTGAAACTGATGATCTTTACACTGTATAGGCTAATGTGTGCATTTGTGTCTTAGTTCTTAACAAAAAGTTTAAAAAATCTGTAAACAGAAAAAGTCTCATAGAATAAGCATACAAAGGAAATATTTTCGTACAGCTGTACAATGTGTTTCTGTTCTAAGCTAAGTGTTATTACAAGTCAGTAAGTTAAAAAAAATTAAAAAGCTTAAATGTTACAGTAAGCTCAGCCTGGCAACACAGTGAGACCCTGTCTCTACAAAAAAATTTTAAGTAATTAGCCAGGTGTGATGGTGCGTGCCTGTAGTCCCAGCTATTCGGGATGCTTAGGTGGGAGGACTGCTTGAGCCCAGGAGGTTGAGGTTGCAGTGAGTGATGATCATGCTACTGTATTCCAGCCTGGATAACAGAGTAAGACCCTGTCTCAAAGTGGGGAGAAGTTACATTAAGGTTAATTTATTATTGAAGAAAAAAAGTTTTAAATAAATTCAGTGTAGTTGAAGTGTACAGTGTTTATAAAGTCTAGAGGAGTGTACAGTAATGTCCTATGCCTTCGCATATACTCACAACTCACTCACTCACCCGGAGCAACTTCCAGTCCTGCAAGCTCCATTCACATTAAGTCCCCTACACACGCATATGATTTTTTAATCTTTTATACTATAGTTTAACTGTATCTTTTCTATTGTTTATTATGCGTAGGTATACAAATACCATTGTTACAAATGCCTACAGTATTCAGTACAGTGACATGCTGTACAGATTTGCAGCCTAGGCGCAATATACAGAGTAGGTGTGTAGTAGGCTATGCCATCTAGGTTTGCATAGGTACACTCTTTAATGTTCACACAACAACGTATTTTCTAGAACGTATCCCCGTCATTAAGTGATGCATGACTGTATAGGGAGACAAAATTTGTACACCATCTAATCTAAAATGACTTAAAAACTTGAGGTTTACCTTAAAGCTATAAAGAGAGAAAATATCTTAAATTTATCAAATGTGTTACAATTCTATTTTCCTTTCTAAGCTATCTTTACAATGTTAATTCAGATGTATCTCTCATGTATTACATTCGTTTTAATGTAAAAAGGCACCAAATTTTCCTATAACAAATGTGAAATGTTTCAGTCTAAGCCAAGTCACACTGAATACCAACCTATAATGCAACACAAAGGCATTTAACATTGTTTGCTATATTTTTTAAACACACCATGAGGGTCACTTAAGCCCACAAATGTAATACAGAGCCGATGTAATCAAAATAATCCAATGGAGGGGGCCCTGCTATATTCTCATCATAACAATATTCTCACTGTAAAAAACTGGAAAACTATAAAAAATTAAAACCCGTATTTTTATAATTTATCCTAACATGAAAGAAAAAACATATAATCCATATTGAATTTTAGCTCTTAAAAGCTTCCAACTTTAATGCAGACTAAAGTCCAGAAAAATTTAAGCTTTTATAAGGCAGCAATTTTCAAAGCAAAAATGAAGTGAGAAATATCATAATCACCTACCTAGAACCATGCTGGTCTTGAGAAAACTCAACTATATGTCCAATCAAGTCTCTAAGCTGAAGGTTTGGGAAGCGGTTGTTTCTGAAATCTTCCAATAATCTACTGCGGCCAGAAGGCATAATATCAGACCTATTATACCGAAGCCGGGAAGGAGGAAAGAGCTGGCTGCTGGAGCTAAATAGACTGGAAGTGCTTGAAGCACTTCGATATTTTGCTTCTGCTCCAGGTGCTGCAGAGATATATCGACCACTACCATTTGTCAGTCCTCCTACAACAAAGCAGCTATGGTCAGCAAGTATTTTTGACAAAGTTATTCCTCAAATAAAATTTACTTTAGCTACAAATTCAGTCAATAAAGAAATATTTCCCCCCACTAATTCCTACTTGTTATGACAGAAAATTAAAATTGGGAGGGGAAAATCTCACCCATATACCTCATGTATGTGGCTATATGATAAAGAGACTAGAAAACATGAGAAAAATAAGTGTGTATTTATTCTTCAGCAGCTTAGTTTAAAACTTAATTATATGATCTAGTGTCATATGCACTCATAAATGTCAGAACACTGAAACTACCAACAAAATTTTCAGTTACATTAACAAGCAAGTTTAAATTGCTAGCAAACTTACATTTTAAGCCACTGAAATAGACTGAAATTCATTAGCATTATTAACACAATAACATTGAATGTTAAATCTCTAGTTTTTGCATTCGGTCATATATACTTCTATGTAAAAATAAATCAATTCTTACCATCATACCACTGATGGTATGAACTTTAAAAAGCCACAATATTAGGTAATAAATCTAAATTATACACTATTTTAAGATTTTAAAATTTTTATTTAAAATATTTGACATAAGGTTGGGCGTCGTGGCTCATGCCTGTAATCCCAGCACTTTGGATGGTCGAGGAGGGCGGATCACGAGGTCAGGAGTTTGAGACCAGCCTGGCCAACGTGGTGAAACCCTGTCTCTACTAAAAATACAAAAATTAGCCAGGCGTGGTGGCGGGCACCTGTAATCCCAGCTACTCAGGAGGCTGAGGCAGGAGAATCGCTTGAACCTGGGAGGCGGAGGTTGCAGTGAACCAAGATCACACTACTGCACTCCAGCCTGGGTGACACAGCAACACTCTGTCTCAAAAAAAAAAAAAAAAAAAAAAAAAAAAAAAATATATATATATATATATATATATATATATTTGACATAAATCCACTATTTCACAAACAATAGTATTAATAAACAGCAGTTATTATTCCTAGAGCCTTATCATTTACAATAAATAAAAAACATTTTTAACTTACATTCCGTTCCAAGAAAGAAAATCAAAGAGCAGTCAATAGAAATAAAAATAAATACATGCAGGAAATTTTTAAAATTACAATTAACAGTTTAAAAGTACTTGACAGTGTCCTTTTAAAAAAGAAAAATGTATAGATAGTTGTAAAATACACATTAGTAGAGTTCAGAAAAACAAAATCCACTACCAGCATCATGCTATTATTATATGCAAAATCTATGCAGAGTAGTACTATATATACAATCCAGGCCACAGGGTAGAGATGGTCCCAAGGATACACTGTCAGTGCAAAGCTATACGGAGGTATTAAAGGTCGAAAAGGACTACAAGGACAGAGAGCAGTAAAACAGTCAAATCCTGGAGAGTAAATTGGGTTAGAACATTCCTCTTTCACTTTCTGTCCCTACTGTCCTAGCTTTACTTTTTTTCATTGAACTTCCTATTACATAGCATATTATGCATTATTTATTTGAATCCCCAGCCCCATCTCCAATCCAAGAGCCATAAAATTAATTTACATGCTAGCTACCTGGTGCCTGGAACAATGTCTAGACCAGCCTGACCAACATGGTGAAATCCCACCTCTACTAAAAATACAAAAAAAAATTAGCTGGGCGCGGTGGCGTGCACCTGTAATCCCAGCTACTCAGGAGGCTGAGGCAGGAGAATCGCTTGAACCCGGGATACGGAGGTTGCAGTGAGCAGAGATTGCACCACCGCAGTCCAGCCTGGGTGCCAGAGCGAAACCGTCACAAAAAAAAAAAAAAAGGCATGTAATTTAAGAAGCTATCTTACACACCAAAATCACTAAGATCAAATTCTTGTTTGGTCCAGTTATACTTAACTATCTCAGCACCCATGCATGATATTCAAAACGTTCAAGAGTTCAGTGTTTCAATACTGTCTCACTACTGCCAGCCTTTCCACTTCCATTATTTGTTTACGTATTTCTAACTGTTCGTAACAATAATTGATCACTAGCCCATCTGATTCTTTAAAATTGGGTCCTTATCACATCTGCACAGCCACTGGGTTTTCTCTAGCATCTTTGCCCTTTTAGAAGGGCAGGGGTGCTTTGCTTATCATTTCAATTTGGTTAAAATTTTTTCTTAATCAGCTGAATTTAAGATTCACCAATCCAATTTTATACACATCAATTGTATTTTTCCTTTCAAAGTCCATTTTTGATGATGTCACTTTATGATAAAAACCTACAGCATCCTGATAAGAGTACTTGCTCTAAGATCTTCAACCTAGTTTTCAAGTCATTAATCCAAACCTATTTTTCACACAAATTTCTTAGTAGTACCCTAACTGTTCACATCCCCCACCCCACTTACTCGTTACTATTTCTTATCATTACCTCAAACACCCTTAATGCATTAAAGATTTTCGACACCAAATTCAAAATACGTACTCACCCCAGGAAATGAAGAAGCCGGTTTTATTTGGTACCTCCCAAATATCCTGCCAATAAGCAACAGGAATTTCTCCCATATCTAGGTATTCTTTTATTGATATTCTATCAGCTCCTAACAACAGAACTCCTGTGCACATCGTATACAATATCTAATAATATTACACTGCCTTGAATTTTAAAAAACCATAGACATTCAGTTCTAGAAGACTAAGTGGTCTTCTCATATATGAAATTTACAAATTTGGCCAGGCGCGGTGGCTCACGCCTATAATCCCAGCATTTTTGGGAGGCTGAGGAAGGCACATAGCTCGAGGTCATGAGTCTGAGACCAGCTTGGGCAACATGGCAAAACCCCATCTCTACAAAAAATACAAAAATTAGCCAGGAGTGGTGGTGTGTGCCTGTAGTCCCAGCTACTTGGGGAGGGTGAGGTTGCGAGGATCGCTTGAGCCTGGGAGGCAGAGGTTGCAATGAGATGAGATTGTGCCACTGCACTCCAGCCTGGACAACAGAGCAAGACCTTGTCTCAAAAACGAAACAAAACAAAACAACAACAACAACAACCCCCCCACCAAAAAAAAAAAAAGAGAAAAAGAAAAAAATATTCTCCAGAAACTAATTCACTGAAAGGACGAACTATCACCAATTAATTTCACCCAGGGAAGCATACCTTTTCTCTCACAAATAAGTGTGTAAAACCCAATTTTTAACATACATTAGACATTTTAAATTTTGTTGTCTAAATATTGAAAGCAGGTCATCTAAAATATCTGGAGATTGAGACATTCTATGAAACAGGCCTATACCCTTTAAAAATGTCAAGGTCATAAAAAACAGAAACAGTTCGAGATTAAAGAAAAGAGCAGTGATGAAAGTAATCCGTGATCCTCAATTTGACAATGGGCCCCCATTGTCAATCTCCCTTTCTCTTTCTTATAAAGGTAATCAGTGTGATAAGTAGCAAAGTTGGAATAAAGTTGGCTGCTTTGATTAGTGGTTTATCAGTGTTAATTTCCTGACTTCAGAAATTGTGGTTATATGAAAACATATACTTACTGTCAAGAAACATACACTAATGTACTTTTGAGTAAGGGACATCATGCCTGTAACTTTTTTTTTTTTTTTGAGACAGGTCTCACTCTGTCACCCAGGCTGGAGTGCAGTGATGCAATCTTGGCTCACTGCAATCTCCCCTTCCTGGGTTCAAGTGATTCTCCTGCCTCAGCCTCCCGAGTAGCTGGGATTACAGGTGCGTACCACCATGCCCGGCTAAGTTTGTATTTTTTTTTAGTAGAGACGGGGTTTCACCATGTTGGCTAGGCTGGTCTCAAACTCCTGACCTCAAGTGATCTGCCCACCTCAGCCTCCAAAAGTGCTGAGATTACAGAGGTGAGCCACCACGCTGGCCCACTTGCAACTTCCTTTCAAAAGTAAACCCAAATAGTGTTGTGGATGAGGGGAAGAAGAGAGGGAGAGAGAATCATACAGCCAATGTGATAAAGCGGTAACATCTGGAAAACATGGGTGAAGGGTATAGTTTTGCAATTTTCCCATTAGTCTCAAATTATCCCAGAATTGGTTAAAAACAAACACATAAACAGGTCATCCATATTCATACTTCTGCTGCTGGTAGTCTAAAAGCAGCTATGTTCTGCACCAAAAGTATTAAAAGAGATAAGGTCTTTTCATTTCGTCATTCAGTCCCCACTATCATTCATGACTGTTTAATCACTATCTGCCTAAGAGTGTATATAGGACATGTAGATCAGTACTATAATTCCACAGATGAGGTCACTATGGTCCAATGGTCCAATGGTCCAAAAGGTATGGGACATGCAGCTAGTCAGCCAAGACCCTTAGGCCAGAGCTTATCTCATACGACAGTGTGCCAATCTTCTGTGCTATTTACATCTTTCATGTTCATTCATGAGAACTTTAATTGGTTCCAGGACCCACACAAGAAACCAAAAATCTGTGGAAGCTGAACTCCAGTAGTTTAGCCTTATGTAAACTATGGATACGAAAGGCAAGACCTCCGTATCTACAAGTTTCACCTTTATCCAAGGATGCAGAATCTGTGGAGATAAAGCAGGTCCTCCGCGGGGCAAGGGGTGCTGGGGGAGACCGTAAGTGAAACCACCACAAAATAAAGAAATCTGTCTAGCCTTCATTTTTCATTATTTTCTACCCTCTGGGATTGGAATGACAGCTACTCAATCTATGAGGCCTGTTTAAGAATACAGATTCCTGACCCTTACTTAAGACATAGATAATTACTCCTTCTGGAAAATCCACCTGAAGGATATTCTGATAGAAGAGTATGGGGACTAATTAATTAGAATAAAAATAATTTAATTCTTCATTTTACAACAGATTTTCAACTAGTAATTGCAAATAAAAATCAAAGTAAGTATGCCCCATGCGGTGGCTCAGGCCTGTAATCCCAGCACTTTGGGAGGCTGAGGTGGGCGGATCACTTGAGGTTAAGAGTTCAAGACCAGCCTGGCCAACACAGTGAAACCCCATCTCCACTATATGTATGTGTAAAAAAATTAGCTGGGTGTGGTGGCGTACGCCTGTAGTCCCAGCTACTCGGGAGGCTGAGACAGGAGAATTGCTTGAACCCAGGAGGCGAAGGTTACAGTGAGCAGAGACTGCACCACTGCACTCTAGCTTGGGCAATAGAGCAAGACCCTGTCTAAACAAACAAAACAAAACAAACAAAATATATATATATATATGTATGTCAGATACATTTAATACAGCTCATGCACACAGGGTGAATGCTGAAATAAAAATATAAAACAGAAGTTACAGAAAGATAGCATTTCTTTCCAGATTAATATATAAATGACTCAAATGTGTGGGGCATTTTCATTTTTTTCCCTCAGAATTTAAAATTTTTTGTATGTCTATTGCATGTAAAGTATAAATCTTTTTTTGTTTCTGAAATGTGGCAGGTGGTTGGACTATTATTTTATGATACATCATTTGTAACACTGCTGTATGAGAATGCTATCCTCTTAATAGCCTATGAGGCAGACATATCTCCATTTTACTTGTGAGACAACAGCTTAGAGAATCTAAATAACTTATCCAAGAAAGCACAGCTAATAATTAGGCTGAATTTTTGTTTACCATTATGTCTAAAAAATTCATGTAAAGTTGTCAGTCATACTCTGCTATGCTTCCTAGAGAATGTTTAATCTCACATGCCATTCTTAAGTCTGCAAAATGACTGAAGCTACATGAGGTATAAACTGAATAAAATTTTAATAATAATAATAATTATTATTATTTTTGAGACGGAGTGCCACTCTGTCACCCAGGCTGGAGTGCAGTGGCACGGTCTCAGCTTACTGCAAGCTCCGCCTCCCAGGTTCACGCCATTCTCCTGCCTCAGCCTCCCGAGTAGCTGGGACTACAGGCACCCGCCACCACGCCCGGCTAATTTTTTTTTATTTTTAGTAGAGACAGGGTTTCACCATGTTAGTCAGGATGGTCTTGATCTCCTGACCTCGTGATCCACCTGCCTTGGCCTCCCAAAGTGCTGGGATCACATGCGTGAGAATGCTTATAATAACTATACATTTGCCATATAAAGACACAACAATTTTATTGGAGGAAAGACTAAGACTACAATGAGTTTAAAAAAACAAAGTGGGCATATTTAAAAGTATAATCTTCCACATCATTTTAATAGGCTGTTATAAAAATACACACATGTCAAACGTACTACCTTAAAACTGTTAATTTTATGACAATATGCAAGCAAACATTAGATGCAAATTACAAGCCAAGTGTTCTAAAATACAAAATAAAAATCTGTTGTTTCCGTTTCTATTGCTTGTGATTCTTTTCTATCAGCAATTTTTAAAAATCTTACCTTTTATTATAGTCTTTACTGGTTAAACTTAAAAAAATAAAGGGCAGACTATCACCATACAAGGTATTTAACAATCTTCCCTCATTCATCAAGGGGAATTTAAACAGACTAAGTAATAACATACTTAGTTAACATAACATAGTCTTCAGACTAGTTATGACATCATTTCCATCAATAACCCACCCTGTCAATTTCCATTACCCTATCAAAAGGGGGTAATGTATAGTTCCAAAAGTTGCCTCAATTTTTTATCTTTAGTGAAAACTACCTCCTCTTGTGACTGATGGACACAAGAACATTTTAAAAAACCTACCCCTAACCCCGCAAAAGAGTAGTAGTAGTAGGATGAGTTCGAGTAGCCTAATAGGAACCTGTTGGCTTTTCCCTGCATATGTCATATGACCCTGTCAGATTTGGCCTAAATTCTTTCCTTTGGTTAATACATTTGGTAATAAGTTAACAAACGAGCAAGCCATATCTGAATTTCCTTTTAAATATTCCAGCTGAGATTTCATGGCCAGTTGCCTTTCTGATTGGAGTGAAGAAAAATTATAGGAGCTGGGATTGTTTCTCTTAAACCATGATTACTAAGGATTTATGCAATCTTAAAGCTTGCTTCAAAAGCTGTGAATACTGGAATAAATTCTGATCCTACACAAACATTATGGGTACATTTATTGTCTCTCTTGATGGGGTCATTGTGGTGGTGGGAAGAGGGCTGAAGAACTGGGAAGGTAAAAAACAAATAAACACACACACACACAAAACAAAAACTCCACAACTGACTGTCAAAACTTCATTTTCATAATGCAATGTTCTAAAGAGTATGATCTTGGCACACTGAACAAAGAAAACACTGATTGAGAACAGCCAAATAATGCTTTAATATAGTAATCTATGTAGGATACCAAGTAATTTTTAAAAAGGAAGTGTCCTTACTCAATAATAAATTCATCAATAAAACAAAGAAACAAAACCACTCAAATTCAATTACCCAAACATTCAATGAAATCTGAGTATTTTTAGTTGTAGAAAAAGGCCTGGGCTTTCTTGTTTCTAATCTAGTGGAGAAAATAAACCTAGAAACAATTCCATTATAATCCAATGTGTGCTAATTTTGGTTCAAAAAACCCATAAAGGAAAATAATTCCAATGAAATCACTATGTTTCTACAGAATAAGATTATGAAATAAAGTGAAATAAGACAAGAACATTACAATCATTATATTGTAACTGCTGTTTTTATCTGTATTTACCACAAAGCTACAAACTCGATGACAGTGAATAAGGATGTTTTTTTCTCCTAGTCAAGCAGAGGCTGGCTTCAATATTGTATTGAACACAGATATTCAATATTGAATAAGTAACAATTTTAATCACATAATTCTAAAAAGGAGTCTAATAAAACTATAGAAAAGATAAAATAGCAATTACTTTCAGTAATTAGAAATAAAAACAAAACTTGCTATTTATATACTATTTACAGTATTTTAAAGTATTACAAACAAGATTCTTTTCTGTTTTTCTGAGACAGGGTCTCGATCTGTCATGCCCAGGCTGGAATGCAGTGGCATAACGTCGGCTTACTGCAACCTCCGTCTCCTGGGTTCAAGCGATTCTCCCACTTCAGCTTCTCAAGTGGCTGGGACTACAGGCACATGTCACCGCACCCGGCTAATTTTTGTATTTTTAATAGAGACGGGGTTTCGCCACATTGCCCAGGCTGGTCTCGAACTCCTGAGCTCAAGCAATACTCCCGCCTCAGCCTCCCAAAATGCTGGGATTACAAGCATGAGCCACTGTACATGATCAGTTTTAACTTAAAATTAGTAATGAAATATTTAAAAGACCCTTAAAGTAAATAGCATTTAATTTGGATTAAAGATCAATTGTTAGCAAGTGAAAAACCCAAAAAAGCCAATAACACTGACATTCAAACTCACTTTTTCCACAAAGTCACAATAGGTTAAATTATATTTTACTACAATTTTATAAAAAGTTTACAAAGATGTGAAACATAGGAAACATGGTCCTTTTAATTTATTCGGATAGGTATTAGAAATAAAAGCATCCTGACCAGGCATGGTGGCTCACACCTGTAATCCCAGCACTTTGGGAGACCGAGGCAAGTGGATCACCTGAGGTCAGGAGTTCAAGACCAGCCTGACCAACATGGTGAAAACCCGTCTCTACTAAAAATACAGAAATTAGCTGGGCGTGCTGGCAGGCGCCTGTAATCCCCACTACTCAGGAGGCTGAGGCAGGAGAATCGCTTGAACCTGGGAGACAGGCTGCAGTGAGCTGAAATCGCACCATTGCACTCCAGCCTGGGGGGCAGAGCAAGACTTCGTCAAATGAATGAATGAATGAATGAATGAATGAATGAATAAATAAATAAATAAATAGAAAAGCATCCTTTGAGAAGCAGTACAACATCTGGAAGAAGCCAGATAAACGTGGGCTCAAAATTTTGGTTCTGCCTCTTACTAACTTCATGAATATAAGTCACGTAATTTCTTTGAGAATAAAGCGTGTTTGTGTGCATATGTGTATGTGTGGTGTGAAACAGAAGTCAAAGTTCATTCCCCCTCATTTGGATATTCAACTACTCCTGCCCAAGTCACTGAAACACCTGTTTTTCTCATATACACTGGAGTGGCAACTTGGTCATTAGGTATCTAAATGAGTAGGTCTATTTCTGGATGCACTACTCTGTTCCGCTGTTCTATTTATTTATCCTTGTGCCAATACCGTAGTTTTAGTTACTGTAGCTTTCTAAGTTCTGGTATCCAGCAGTATTAAGTTTTCTAACTTTGCTTTTCAAAACTGTCTTCACTACTTTTGGTTCTGCTTTTCCATTTTCATTTTTTGCATCAGCTTATCAATTTCTTTTTAAAACCTAATTTTATTGATAGCGTTCAATCTTTAGACCAACTAGAAGAAAGCTGGTATCTTTATAATAGGGAGTCTTTCAACCTAAAATATGGTATGTCCTTCCATTTATTTAAGTCATCTGTAACTTCCATCAGCATTTTATAGTTTATAATGTAAAAGATCTTGCACTTCTTCTGCTGGATCCATTCCTAGATATATCACAACAAAACCAACTCCAGTGAAAATATTCTCTACATATAAGAAACAACTTTTCAAAGCCATTCTAAGAGATATATGCTACTTTCATTTTTATGTTATTTGGCTAACACTGCAAATCTCTCATGAAGCACATCTGCCTGTATTTTAAAGGCTACCTTTTGATCCTTAGGGTACCTTATAAGCATGGTGGGATGGTGTAAATTACAGGTGAATTCTTGGTAGATTAAAATAATCTCTGCCAGCTACAAATTATTTCAAGTCAGTGTTTTCATGTGGAGGCTACTGAAAATTTCAGTGGGACGAAACTATTTTTGTGCTGACTATGCAAAGTATAACATCTGGCTACCAGGCATTTAATGCCAATAGAATCCCCACAATCATTGTAACGAGCAAACCCTGTTGCCGCACATTTGCAAACTGTTCACATCCTTGTGAAGTCTACTACGAGGCATTTTAAACAAGTGGCCAGAGTGATTCTGATGCCAAAACACAGGATGGGATCAAGTATTTTCTAGTCTTCAGTTTGTGATTATCTTAACTAAGTAAATTAACTGGTGAAAACTTTCTCAGACATTAGAACCACAATGTCACTGATAATGTTATTAAAGGATAATAAATAAAAAATTAGTAATCTAAAACAAGTACAACCAAGATCAAGACATTTTTATACAGAAAACCAAACATCACAAATTCTTCCATACAACTAGTAACGTAATTTCTTCAAAACATTATTTCCTACTCATCAGCAAATAAATTACTTCTAGGTCTACCAGAGGGTTGTAGCTGTTTTTCAATTTATATTAACATGAGAACCTGTAAGTAAGATTCTGTTGAGAGTCGGGTGTGCTGCTCTATACACAGTCCCTAAATTGCCTGCCTTAGATTAACAAGTATTCTTATTACAAATAAGAAGTACAAATATAACATATGTGCTTAGACAAGTATTTTTATCTAAATCTCAAGAATAACTAAACTGAGAAAGGAACCTAAAAAGCTGGTAATCCTATACATACTTTAACCAAAGAAAAGCATAACTTATACCATAATGAGGTAATCATTAGATTCTGAGAGGCTAATTAGAATAAGTTATTTATATACTTTGTAAAATTGTTCAGTTCCTATAGAATAGCATAATGGAAAAACGAAGAATAGTATCACGAGTCAGAACTGGATGCTAGCCTTAATTCTGTTATTCACTGGTTTGGGAAAGTCTATTAATCAACTGATCTTTAATTTCTTCATCTTTAATCAACAAACCACTCTGACAGTCTATGCCAACAATTAGGATGAAATGAAATATGAATATGAAGGTGCTTTAAGAAAAAAAACTATCGAATGCTATTCAGTTACAGAGAACTGTAACTGCTAAAGGATAACAGTATTTTCAGTGAATGCTTCGAATAATTCATATTGTTTTCTGCTTTCATTAATGACTGTATGTGAAACTCAGAAAAATGGCAGGTGGCCTTACTATCAACTTTGCAGTACTAATTTTACTTCTCTGAATATTTTATCATAAGAGAAGCACAAGACTAAGTCTGCCAAAGGCCAGCAATTTAAACAGAATGATTCTAAAAATTTATAATATCTTGCCTATTATTAAAATTTTCTGTAACTGGAAGACAGGTTAGGAAATTTTATAATCCACAGCAAACTAAAGCACAGCTGTTTACCTGCTGAATACATGACATTCTTCAGACTTCATAGTCCCCTTTCAATAAATTTTACTGGGTTCAAAGCCCACATTACACTTTAGCACCCTTTTTGTTAAGAAAAAAATAGCTAGTTCAAAAATGAAGAGGTACAGGGCAAGAAGCCGTTAGTTTGTCAAAACCTAAGTTAAATAACAAAAATACGAACACTGCTTTATACCTAGTAAGTTCCACATCAATCAAATTACTATGAGCACAAAGACTGGAGTTAAAAAAAATTATCAACACTATATTTAAAAAGTTTATTAGAAGAAGGAAAACAAGGAAAGAACTAGTCAGCTAGCTCCAGGTAGAAAAATAAGGCAATACTAGAAATATTTAATGTTCTTCACAACAAGTGAAGTATCTCCAAAAAAAAAAAAAAAAAGATGCTTACTTCTATCCTAGACAATGATGTATAAAACAACTGTAGGTAGATTGCCCCCCTCCTATAGATTAATACAACATGAGAAAATAACTCAATATTTAATATTGAACCTGAAGCCCAGAATTTTACACTGTTCTCTGCATTTCAGGGTATAAACTATTAATCCTAAAATCATTCTCTCTCCAAGTTGTTGTCAACAGGAGAACCAATATAAAGGGGCTCCAAGGGGCCAAAGAAGGTGTAATTTTAGAACCAAAAATAGATATAAAATTGATGTCTTACACTGCAATGAACTGAAACATATCAATTATCCCCAAAATCTACCCATTTGTAGATAACAATGAGGATAAAAACACGAGTCACCTTTAAAAGTTGCTAGGGCATCAATATTATTCTGAAAGTAAAGGAAAGAATCTTGCATTATTCTGACTCTTACATGAACTGTCATCAGTTGTAACCTTACAACTGATGAGGGATAGCTATTCTTCTTTATAGAAAAGTTCCAGATAATAAATGAATAAAGAATGACACAATTAACAAATTATCATTTTGCAACCTCTGGAAAAAAAATTATCAAAGGCTGCTAAAACCATTAGGTGGATCAGGCTGGTCATCTCACAATGGAGACAACCAAACACGTGTCTCCCGATACAGTGCAACAAAAACTAACAGAACCCCATGTTGTCAAAATAAACCAACCAACCCATAAATTATCTGACCAAGCCTCTAGATCGAATTCCAGTTTACAGGAAAGAGACATAGGAACATCTTAAATACTACTATGGGGAAGCAATCAGCAAGGTCAAGAGTGTGGGAAAATAAATAGGATAAAGTTTCTTCATCAAATAAATGGAAAGGGAAAAAAAAGATGAAGGAAAAACAATTACACATTAAGACATATCAAACAAATGCAATGTATGAACCTTATTTTGACTGTGATTCAAATGGAACAATTGTTAAAGACATTTAAGTCAATTAGGGAGATTAGAGTTAATAATAAATTATTTTAAAATGTATGATATACTGTAGTTATTGTTTTGAAATAGAACCTCAGATATTATACTATAAAAAATGGAAGAATAAAATTTTTTCATGCATCTAACTTTAATATATTAGAATAAGCAACAGAGCTGCAAATTTGAACAAGTGTTTTAGATTTTTATAAAAAAATTAACACCCCAAAACTATGCACTGAAATTCTTATACTTCAACCCAAAAGTGATTACTAGTCATCCTGCTAAAAATACATGTGTTGGTTATAAGCCTATCTTAAAAAATGAAAACTTTTTTTTTTTTTTTTGAAAGACAGCACAGACTGTTGCTACTGGGCATTTTCTGTGAATCTCAAATAACTAACACTAACAAAGGAACATACTTTGGGGATGCAGATCTCAAGCCTTACAGGTAACTGTAATGGTTGTAACATTCACATCTTAAAATAAAATCTCCCAGAAAAATAATCTGGAATTAATTCCAACCAATTCTAATGAGAATTGAGAGAACTTATCTCTATCTCATGATTTCATATTCTTGATATGTGAGCTCAGTAAAATTACTTTAAAAATATGCAAATTCCATTTCCATAAGTCTTTTATACTATCAGCCTTGAGACTTGATTCATAAAGAAATATTTTTCTTTTTTTTGGACAGCCTTGCATCATGATCCATTCATAGGGAAGTGCAGAGTAGATTATTTCCATGAATAGTATGCAAAAAGAAAATTTATGAAATCCTTCAAGTTATTTTCAGTCTGGCATGGGTCTATTTGTTGTTAACAATGTTGCCAGTCATACCACCACTAAAACTATGGGAAACTGGGGGTCACAAAAAGAAAATAACACAGGTAATTGCTAATTCCAATCAGAGGTGTATTAAAATATCAGATTTCAAGCTGAAGCTATGTTAGTCTATAATGCAGAATGCTGGCCCAGTGGTGATTATTTCCCACAACTGACCAGAATTCCTTCCCTAAGCATCTATTAGGCTGCTTTCTTTACAACCTAAAGAAAGGTAGAGAAGCACATATCTAGATTGCTGTTCAATCATAGAGACATCTAAAAAGTCATTTATATCCGATTTCTAAGCAAGCTGTGTAGAACCTATTTACTGCCATTTATACAGGCACTAAAGCACAACACAGCAGTTAAGAGCTGAACAAGAATCTGATCTGAAACTTACCTATGAAAAGATGACAGGACATGACAAAATCTTAACAATAAAACAAAAAACTATTATGATAAGTCTTAGATTTGTTGTGTTCCAAATTTTTGTGTCCATTTCATAGGCATGTCTTATGAAGGGAGGATGCCTGGGCAGTAATAACAGAAATCAGGAGCTGAGCAGCTCCTGCGACTAAGAATACATGATAAATGAAGAAAGGTATTAGGCTAAAGATAGGTAAATCTACACATCTAGTACTGCAAAGTGGATCTTAGGGCTCCATTTGAATACATTAATTGGCTGTATATGTTCAGTATCAATACCCCAAATGAGCAAAGGCCCAGAATTTGGGGTGGAAGACCAGAGTCTTTAAAAAAGAAATCTAGCCCAGTGTGTGTGCAATAATGTAAATCAAAATGAACACTGCAACAGATACCTTTGTTACATGGACATTTATTGTATTAGTAAGTTTTTTTGCTTGTTTTTGTTTTTTTCTTTTAAATAGCTATACCCATGTAATTGGAGGGGGTGGTCAAACATAATCACTAACTTACAGTACATCTGCTTACAGTAGCAACATTACTTTTTAAAACACAAGCTGATTTAAATCTTTCCAATTACATAAAAGCTGGCAATAGAATCCCTCAGTTTCAGCTGAATAACTAGAATTATAAAAATTCAAAATAAAGTTTTAAAAAAATAATTTCTTTGACAAGATAGGGATTCATACACAGCCCCTGATATCCAAAGCCCTTCAAAACGTATTATCTACATGGATAAATACTTCCTGGAGAGGGAAAAAAGGTAATCACCAATTTAATAATTTGGGGGTGGGAACAATTTTAATATACAAATATAAACAAAGTTCTCAATGCTCCAACTTCAGGGGTACAACAAGCCTAAAACATTTTTTTTCTTTAACATATCCAAAAAAGAAGTATATGGCCCAAGCCTATAAGCTTCCTTAAGTGACAAATACACTAAATTCAAATTCACTGAAATAATTATCTGGTAAAATGGCCAGGCATAGAAAGACCAAAGCAAAAACCAGTGTACTAACCTAGTTCAGTAGCTATGTAACTAATGTTTTTCTTATGGTGTGCAAATCTTTTGATAGTGAAATTTCTCTTTCACTATTATGTTTATATAGTTGACTTTTCAGATGCTCTAAAACACACAAATCAAAAGCACAGACAAGAAAAAACACACCATTATATTTCATAAAAAAAACATAAGAAACAATAGGGGGGTCTTTACCTTATTGTACATTAGACCCTCACTTTGAATTTTCAGGAAAGTAGAACTTTTTCAAAAGACTAATATCTAAAAGCAAAAGCAATTTGGCATGTTTTAACCAACATTAAATATTTTACATATATTATAAACACACACACAAACACACATACATGTATACATACAAATAAAAAGGGTTTTGGTTTTTTTTTTACCTAAATGCAAACTGGATGAGGATCCATGTGATGAAAGTGATGGCGGTGGCGTAAGTGAATGTCCTGGAGTTTGGCTTGGCAGAGGCATGCCTATTGGACTTGGAGAGGAGGAAAATCCCAGACTATTGTAAAATGGTTGCCCTATGGGTGCTAGGCTGCTACTAGATCTTTTGTACAAGTCAGAGCTAGTAGATAGAGACTCTCTCCTTGTGGCACTACTACTTGCAGAACTGCCAACTGAAGAAGAAATAAAAAAAACCCTAATTACATACAGTGTTAACTGAATAAAATCTATCCCCAACTCTCGCTGGGCAATAACAGAAGTGATCACAATAATTATTTTTAGAAACATTTTGGAGAAGATAATTACTGTGATAACTATATATACTAACTTATTAATCATAAAAGGGTATAAATGCACCCCAATAAAGAACCAAATACTTAACAGAGCAGTCATATGATTCATTATTTCACACATATTTACCACTGACACATCTGATTACTGTGCTTTAATACCCTGGTATGATTTATAAACCCTGGAATTGCAAGTTGTCTGCATTAGGACATGCTAGAGATTAAATTCCATTAAGTTTAAATTCTGATAGTATCCTAATCTCTGAAACCTGCTTCTTAGACTTTAACTCAATGCCAAGAAAAGATTATATGAATAAATAATTAGTACATTTCCTTCACCATTCATATTTAATTTGTCATCTAGCTGTGTTCAAAACATAGCCCTTTAAGTCCATATTGGCCCGAATATTGATCAGTTGTGAAATACAGTGAGCAGCTAACTCAACAGTATTTTTTACACTACGCATTCTCCCTTGTTCTTTAACTACATTACAAAGTAACTCGACTTTTCTAAAATTAATAGCTCTCACTGTTATCAAACCAAAGACATACTTTCACTTATCCCACAGGACTCTTCTACTCCTAAGATGCTAGTACTACTGCCTCCTGAGCCCCTTACTCAAGGCTGATCAGGTTTTTGTCATTTGATAATACACAATTTCTCTTACTTTACATCCCTTAATACAATGCATACCAAATTTTTACTTAATATCAAATGTAACTATTATCCTTCTAATCCTTTTTCCTTTTATAGTGCAGAAAATAAAGGTCATGTAGGCCCTGGTGAGCTATACATGCTCAGAAGAGCTAATCAAGATCTGGCTGTTAATCAACACCTGTCTGGATAATCAAATTCCACAGCATGCATCTCTAAGGGCTGTCCAAACTCTCAGTTCTCAAGTCTCACTTAAAGCCCATATATTCAAGTACGTTTCCTTCCTATTTCTAAGCACTAGCCTCTTTTAACTGAATAACTTTTACATCTAAGAAAATTTCAAACCACATTTCTGAACCTGCCAAATACATTTTTAAATGACAAGCTCTATATTCGGACCAATATGGCAATGCTTTTCAAGGGATCTAAGTTTCTATTAAATCTTATTTAAGCACAAGTCATATATAAATAGGTCATACAGGGTATAAAGAAAAAAATTAAGGAGAGTACATCATGGGTAGACCAAGGTAAGAGTATAATACAGACGGAAAACTTAATTACGTTGGTTTTGCCAAATTCAAAATTCTATAAAGGGGTAAAAAAACCAGGCTTATGCTACCACATTAGGCAAAAGATTATAATGCTATTCAACCTTTTATACCAGCCAATGCAGTTTCTGAGACTGATCATGTTTTGTTGAAGATTTTACATTTTAAGATATCATAGTAAGAAAATACTAGGTGTCTATATGCATTTTTATTGCAAAAGTGAATTATAAGCACATGTAATAAACAGTTATTCTTGAGTTGGTTTTGGTAAAACTGGCAATGTATGCTACATTAACTATGCTAATTTAAAAGGACACTGTCAAAGTGATTTTTCTAAAATATGGCTACATTTTAAATTCCTATTTATTTCAGAAAACAATTTAACTGACAATGAAAAGACAACAGCTCTAATAAGAGCAGCATTATTCCCCTGACAAATAATCCAAGAAACCAGTTTTGACACATGCAATATTATTTTCCTCCAAAAAGGAAAAGTCAAGCCAAACATTTAAAAATAATTCAGAAATAACCTTAAATATAAAGAAGCTGGCTCTTTAAGTTTTACTATATGTCTAAATTATCTCCAACAGTATGACTATGAGATATGAAACAAAGTGTACCTAAAATATCTAAGAGGGTAGACAGACTGCTAATCATTCATCGACTGTGAAAAAAGGCTAAATTATAAACTTTCAATTGTAACAACACTTTAAAAAATAACAGGTCATAGAAAAGATGATTTAAATTATATGTTACGATGTTTAGGCTTCTTGGCCAACTATATCATAAAATGGGGTATTTAACACTGTTAAACATTAATAATTTCATCATAGAGGTAAGAGAAGGACTGTGTATGTTACTTGTATATGTGTATACAGGCACACAACCATATTATGTTTTAGAGCTCATGTAAGTATGTAATTGCCATAATGTGAAAAGGCAGTGTGCAAACTTGTAAGAGTCCATATATATAGCACTTGAAAAAACTCCCACAAAATGCCCAAGAGGAGAGATACGATGGACTCTTTACTGGCATTCAGGGGTGGCAATCACTAATGCTCTCTAAAGCAAGGTAAAATGAAGCTCTTACAGATTGGAGTCAGAATTAAGTAAGCCATGCTTGTAAATAATGGAGGTGTGAAGGTTAGTTTTGGGGAAACAGGGCATCTGTAGTGGACAAAATGTTCATGTCAATCAATTCCTGAAAGGGGGAAAACAGCCTTAACTAAGAAACAAATGGAAATTTGAAAGAATTGAGTAGGGGCCTAGAAATCTGAACCAGACGATCAGTGACATACTACGTGAGAAAGGAAACATGGGGTTTAATCAATGCTCTCTTTTTTCTGAATTATTTAGGGCCTACAATTTATAATTTAAAAACTATTTCCACAAGTTTGTTTTTTATGTTACTTGTTCTTCCAGTTTTCCTCAGAATATTTAGGATTCTTTGGAGAAAATGTCCCAATTGTGTTAGAAACAAGGAATGAGTCCTATGGGAGTGCGTGAGGTGGACAAAGAGATACACAACTCCAAAAGCAATGAAAAAACTCAAGTACAAAATTGAAAAGATTTAACAATCCCCATGTTCACTGGATTTTCCCTCAGAAATTCTTATGAGCAGTCTTCAGATAATTTTGTGTCAGTCCAATATGACATCCACTTATTGTATTTCATTACAATAAATGAAAAAAGATTCTGCCATCTAAAAGTTTGTGGCTGTTCTAGACCATCCTTCCTGTATATATGAATGATAAAAGTTCAGAAGACACTCCCTTAGAAAACTGGCAAGCATTGTTAATAATGCCTGGCATGTGTTAGTTCTGCCATTTTCCACACCAGAAAAGAATATAATTTGATGTGGTAAGAAAAGAGATCAGAAACAGATATTAAGGACTGTAGCAAGTTATGTTATAGAAACAGAAAATCTCTTGAGGTCCAAATAGTCCTATCCTCATGAAGTAAAAGCTGCCAGCTGCACCGATAGAACTGGGTCAGCTGTTTTTTCCCTAATGTTTCCTGAGTACTGTGGAAACCTCACAGAAAACACCAAGTGTATCAACAAGAAGTCAACGTGGGCCTCTTCTGATTTCACTTAGTTCTTCCTCTACCACAGGATCCAGGAACCAGTTTGAGTGGGTCAATTATTTAGTGAAGCTATTTAAAATTTTGATTTGTTAAGTGTTATATAAAGCTAAGATACATGAATAGATACCCTTTTAAGTGAATTTTTAGTGACAAAGGCTAACTTATTTAATCTAAAAGATAACCATACTGGTAGCTTCTTAGGGGATTCTGTGTAGAACATTTCAGTATTTATACATACACATATGTATTTTTTATATTAGGCCAAATTTAAAAACTGTAATAAACTACCAGCATTTAATAAGAATAAACCATCTAATAAGGACACAAAGATAACTGCTTTAAAATACCAAAAATTTAAGACGGCAAAATATTTGCCTCCACAAACATTATGTAGTGAATGAAGATGAGCTAATAATTAGTGAATAATATATTGACCCAAATAAACCCTACTAAAACAAAAATTACAGTAATCAATTCCTAGAGCCAGGGAAAAAGGAAATGTATTATATATGAGTAAAGAACAGGCTGCCTATAGTGAGTTAAACATTGGTGAGTGTTGAAAAGATTTGCAGGATTTTTTTTTCCTACAAATTAAACCAGTAGTCCAATACTTTATTCCTGTCCTTCCTATCCTACATGCTATTATTGCTTATTTTAATGTTAAACACACTCATATACCTCTTCCACTTAGCAGAGTACACTCATCGTAAAAACAAACTTACCTGATGAACCAAATCCACTGAGGGCTGAGCCTATAGCAGCACCCAAAGAGTTACCACTTCCAAAGCCAAGAGATGTACTTCCAGGTTGACCAGGTCCATGAGAAAATAAAGAACTACTCTGGGAGCTATTAGTCAAAGAACTGCTTCCATAAAATGAATTAGATTGCAGATTAGTGCTTGGCTGCTGTTGCTGCTGCTGTGGTGGCTGAGTGCCAATTGGCCGAAACAGACCATTTGTGCTGCCTGTAAGGCTACTTGCAGTTCCTCCAGCTGCTGCTGCTGCTGCTGTAAAATAAATTTCAGATACTTCTTTAAACCACCCAGAAAATTCTGTATTTTAAAAATGGTATCTCAACACCAGAAAAATATTATCCTAAAAATGTCAGTTACACTTACCAGCTTGTGCTGCTGCTGAACTAATTAAAACAGGTGTTGGAGCCATTAACCGAACTGGAGCTCCAAGGCCAGTCCTTGCTCCAGGGCCAACCACTAAGGCACCAGTCTGATCATAATAGGCAGTTGGAGCTAGTACTTGATAGCCTAAATAAAATAAAGGTTTACTAATGAAAGCACTTATTACAAAAACATGCATATTTGTTTTTCCCTGCATTTGTATTTTTTCAACTAGACAACACAGCTATTTGTACCATTACTATAAAATCCTTAGTTAATATATGCAAAGCAACACATTTGACAAGGTCTTACTAAATATATGAAAAAGTAATAGACTGTCATTAAACATTTTTTCTCTAAATTTTACTCAGGGGCCACAAAATGAAGAGGTATTTTCCTTAATATAGAAACTACAGGCTATGAAGGAAGGGCTGATATTAGAAAAAAAAAATCACCATTTAGCCCTTCGAAGAAGAAGGATTAAAAAAACTGGGAGTAGCGAGGTAGAACACTGTACGAAATGTTTACTGTGCAATTTCATTGAAGTTCAAAATCAAGTGCCTCATTACCAGCATTCCGTTAGATTTTCATTTGTAATCATCTCTTTAAAAACTTAAGCCAAACATTCTATTTGTGAAGATTCTCAAGCTAGAGTTTAATTAAAAATCACACAGGCTTTAGTTTTATTGTAGCCTTAAGCACAAGGTAGGTAATCTTCACAAATAGTGGAGAATAAAGTTAACTTCTTAGCAGCCTTTCTCAATGGAGATTCTCTGTTGAACCAAAAACACAGAAAATGATTTAAGTAAGTATTTTGTTAATTCTCCTAAGGATGGTATATAACAAGCATCACTCTGGAATCACAGGAGAGAAGTTAGCTATATACACTGTGGATACTTCAGAGCAGTAATAAGGCTTTATTCTTTTCTGGAACTCAGTTTAGAAAGGCTGCCTTATAAAGCGACAAAAAACTGAGGCCCAATAACCTTACAACTATCAGCAAAACATGCATTGGCAACTTTTTTTTCCCTTAAAGAGTGCTGTCTTGCTCTGTTGTCTAGGCTGGAGCACAGTGGCATAATCATAGCTCACTGCTGCCTCAAACTCCTGGGCTTACATGATCCTCCCGCCTCAGCATCCTAAGTGGCTGGGACTACAGGTACATGCCACCAGGTCCGGATAATTTATTTTTATTTTCTACAGAAATAGGGCCTCACTATGTTGCCTAGCCTAGTCTTTAACTCCTGGGCCAGCGATCCTCCCGCCTCAGCCTCCCAACTGTGTCTGGTCCTTTAAGAAGTTTTTAAAAACACAGACTATACTGAAATACATTCCAACATCAATTTTTAAGTCTTATTTTGTTAATACTATGCAGAAGTGAGAGTTACAGTAAAATTAGTGATAATGCAGCATGAACATTTTATTGCCTTTAAACACAGTAGGCTAAATTCAGCTCAAATATAATAAACAGTGCTCAGATAAACACTTCACCTGTAAGACACACATGCATAGGTTGTTTTTAGTAAATACAGTAATTCTGATCAAGAATAAGCATTAGCACGCTGCTAATAAAATATCCACATTACTAGTAAATTTCAAACTGTACATGCCAGTCAATAGTCTTAACTGGTATGTGTGGTCTAGTCCTAAATCCAAGGCACACAGAAAACATTCTTGTTCAAAAACATTGTCATTTACTTAACATCTGAATTTGAATTAAAAATAAAAGTAAATCCATTTGGACATTTGGCTATAAACACTCTACTGACAAATCAAACAGCACTTAACTGCTCCTTAACTAAATTTTGCGTATATAAATTCCCAGAGAGGAAATAACCCACAGTCAACTCAACTCTGAAGTCCTGTTCATTTACCTTCCAATCTTTCTCAAATCCATCCATTCTCTTGATGGCTACTTTCCTGTCCAACCAGATTATATGGTCTGCCCTTGCTCTTTTGTCCCATGTCTGTAACACATTCTCCACAGAGACTGTGGTCTGAGATTGATATAAAAAGATATCAATCCACACTCTTGCTCCAAACCTTCCAAAGGGTTTGAAATGAAAAGCAAAGCTCTGAATATGGCCCACAACATGATCTGGTTGGTTCCTGGCTGTCTTTCTAGTTTTACCTGGTACTCATGTACCTTTTACGTATTGGGAAAAATGGGGGTTCAAACTCCTCAGAGGCACCACGATTCCCCTCAGCACAGGAGTTTGGTGCATTCTGTTCCTCTGTCACAGCATGATATTTTTTCCCACTCTCATTCTCTACTTAGCTTAATTTTTCATAAATTCATCCATTTGACAAATATTTATCAAGTGGCTACCACATGCCAGCCACTATTCTAGGTACTGGGATAAAGCAGGGAAAAATAAGGAAAAATATCCTTAAAGGAGATCATTTTCTGCTTCAAGTGAGATAAATGAAAAATAAGTAAAAAGGTATGTTAGACAGTTTTACATATTAAAAGGAGAGAAAAATCAGACAGGGAAAGTGGATAGAAGTTATTGGGCAGTGACAACAGTGTTAATAATTCAAAGCTGAGAATCATGAAGAATCTCCATAACAAGATGACATATGAGGAAAAATCTAAAGAAACTGGGAGAACTAGTCAAGCAGATATCTGTAGGAAGGCATCTCCAAATAGAAGACACAGAAAGTAAGCCAGTACGACTGAAAGAGAGACGGAGCAAAGAGTAAGACAGGCAACAAGGGGCCAGATCCTTACAGGTCACTGTTAATAACTTGAGCTTTTACTCTGACTTCAGGCAGGAAACCATTAGAGTTTTGAGGAGAGGAGTGAATTACTTCGACTTTTCTTACACCCAAGTTACTATGTAGAGAGAGGACTCCATAGGGGAGAAAAGAGGGACAAGAAGATGTGAGAAGCCAGATGGAAAGCTAATCCAGAGGAGAAGTAATGAGGACCAAGTCAAAATAGAAGTGACAGTAGAAAGGTAGTTGAATTCGGAGAACCCTAGAGATTTGCTGAAATTAGACGTGGGATGTGAGGTAAAAAGTAGTCAAGGATTCCCCTTATTTTTTGGCCTAAGAATTATAAGAACAGAATTTCTATTTATGATAAAGATGGACATCATAATTTATCTAGTCAACATTTTCTAATTTACTAACATGAGATTGTTCCTAATAGCTAATGATTACTTTTCCTGTTATTGGTTATTTATGCCTTCTCTGTTTTGATGAGTCTCTGAGGTTATCAACTTTATTGTCTTTTCAAAGAGGTGGTCAACTTCATTGTCTTCAAAGTAATTTCCGGGATAATTATTTTGTTTATTACTTTTCATTCATATCAGCTCCTATTTTTATTATTTGCTTCCTTCTACATTCTTTGGTTTTATTCTCTCTCTTTTTTTTAGAGTTTCTGGATAAATGCTTAACTCATTCATTTCCAGCCTAATTTTCTAATGTAAT
Organism: Homo sapiens; assembly: GCF_000001405.40. NCBI lineage: Eukaryota > Metazoa > Chordata > Mammalia > Primates > Hominidae > Homo > Homo sapiens. Next base: position 20,286,775 of record NC_000002.12, read on the forward strand.
CATTAAAACCTATATATTCTCTATGCTATGTTTTTGTTCTAATCCACAAGTTTAAATATGCAGCATTTTCACTGTAATTCTGTTCAAAAGTTGCTAATTTCCATTCTTTTTGTCTATGGCCATACAACCCTGATCGTGCCTGATCTCATCTGAATTATCTTTTTGCTACTGAGAAAGTCTGTGACTGGTTAGATGAATGTATGAAGAGTGGGAAAAGGAAAAAAAAACGACGTAGGGAAGAATGAAGACAAGACATGGGGAATTGAAAAACAAAAACAAAAAAACATGGTCCTCGTACTCAAGAATTATGCAATCTAGCACAGGAGGAAACACACCCCTTCTTAATTCTAAAATGCCATTTACTTTAACATATGACATAGATCTAACAACTTCCCTTCAGAGAAACAAAACTCTCTAAGACATTTCCCATCTACGACCACATTAAAATAAGAGTTGTAGAATGGTGAAAATAAACCACAAATAGCTAAATGAAATGCAAGGCACACAGAAGTACTAAAAGAAGATGCAAGTAATATACCAAAGAGAGCAGACAAGGGAGTAATTATCAATGAATGAGCACTGGGAAAGATTGAGGAAAGCTTCATGAAAGGGACCATATTAAAAGATGAGAAGGATAGTTAATCACAAAATGTTTATGGGCTGAAATTTTAAAAAGCAAGAACTATATACACCAATTTTGTTTAAAATTTATAAAGGGGTATTTTAAGCTAGAAAAAAAAAGAACATGAGCTAGGACTAGAGGCATAGAAGTGCATGGTATGTTTGGGTAACAGTATATGGTCTAGTGCATTAAAGCACAGGACTATGAAGGAAGTTGAGAGATTTGGTAGGCCCATAATCTCAGCACTTTGGGAGGCCAAGGCAGGAAAATTGCTTGAGGCCAGGAGTTCAAGACCAGTCTCGCAACACAGACACTGTCTCCATAAAAATAAAAATGACCATGAGACAGAATGGTAGAGAATTGGCAAGTTATTGGATGTGGAGGCACAGAAGAAAACCAATAGTTAAAGGTAACTTTGAAGTTGCAGCCAAGAGTTTCTAGTTCTAGAGAAAGTAAAGTGAAACAAGGTAAACAGTAGACAGGAAAATTTGGAAATGTGAGTTCATTTTCTGACATTTTCAATTTGAGGAGTGCCTGCAACATAAAAGTAGAAATGTCTGGTATAAGGACAGACATGTATTAGGTGTTCAGAAAAGAATCCAAGATGCAGATGTAAATTCACAGGGATAATAGTTGAAAGGATTAATGCAAATATACTCTCCTGAGGAATAAGTCTAAAGTATCTCCACTTTTCCTATCTGAAACGAAAATTCAAAAAGGAAAATAACTTGGGCACGGTTAAACAATAGCTATGTGGTGGAAATACAGCAAATCTGACTCTGAAGAAGGCAGCCATTAAGCCAGACTGTCTTTTATATTTAAGGATATACATAGAGGAAGCAGAGACTGATAAAAAAGCAATGAGAGGTGAAAAGGCTATGAGTGAAATACCACTCCGCAGAAAAGAGTTACAAAGAGTTGGACACAGTCAACAGGGTGAACTGCAACAAACTGAGCATAAAAAAAGATACAGAGGAAATTATACTTTGTAACTGTCACTAAGTTATATTAGAGATACTGCAAAGGAATTATAGAGGCAGAATTTAAAAGTTATGGGATAGAGTATAAATTTTGACAAATAGTCCATGAGGGAAGCAGAGCAGAGATAAAGCTTTTTAGGATGAACAGGCAGAATAGCACAGTGGGGTTGAAAGGAAGGATTGGGAGAGGGAAAGACTAAAGATTCAAGACGGAAAAACAATAGCACACAGGATATAAAGCAGAAGAGTTAAGAATAGAACAGTAACTAGGGATCTGATAAAGTACTGAAGAAAGCTAGAAAGAAGAGCTAAAGTATGAGGCCTGAAGGAACATCGATTTTCTCAAGTGAGCCCTTTTTAGTATACACATTAGCTTTATAACTATGTAACTATTTGGATATGGAAAATGAGAATTATTTCATCATCATAGTCTGGGCACAATGAAGTAAAGAAGGCATCAAAGAAAGTTTTAGTGTGAGGGGATCATGTGAACAGCCCAAAAGTCACTGAAACATACAAATACAAATCCTAGTAAGGCCCTTCTTATGAGAGTGGTTTTTTCGTTTGTATTTCTAAAAAGGCTAAAAAGTTGTGGCTCAAAAGATTAAGTAATCCACTTTAAGACATGTTGTGTGGCTGGGCGTGGTGGCTCACATCTGTAATCCCAGCACTTTGGGAGGCCAAGGTGGGTGGATCATGAGGTCAGGAGTTCAAGACCAGCCGGCCAATATGGTGAAGCCCCGTCTCTACTAAAAATACAAAAGAAAAAAAAAAGTTGGGTGTGGTGGCACGTGCCTAAGAAATGAGTAATAGGGCCAGCATCAAGAGCCTAGGAGGATCAATGAGTTACAGGACACAGCAAACACATGCAGGCCAGAGGCACTCTTCTTAATTCCAGGTTCCACAGAGAAACTAGTTAAGCAGGAAAAATTGTTGTACTCCATAACTCCTCTCTCCGTTCTACATATAGCTAAAACCTAAGAAGAACCCAAAATAGTCTCAGTGGCCCTCAAAAACTCCCAGCTCACTTTTCAGCCCAACGTCCATGTGCCTAAAACAACTTCAGCTTCACAGTCCATTTCTCAAAAGTCTGCTTTTGCCAAGGTCTCTAATCCACAATGACTCCATGACAGTAGAGTCCAGGAAGCAAAAATATATGGCTGGGGTATAAAAAATAAAATAATGAGAATGCCACCCACTCTACTATCATTTCTACTTCAGGGACAGCAGGATGAAAATCTCTTTATCCCGTGAACCAGACAAGATGATAAATTCAGATCTTAAAATTCCAGAGAGAAAGAATAAATGTAATTGAAATAGAAATCCTTCAAACAACAAACCAAAGTATTTACAAGTACTTAATATATAAAAGAAACTCTCAATCATGCAAGTCATTATTTTTTCCAATACACTGAACACATTTCCTAAATGATCTGAATAGAAAAGTAAACTGCATTATGATTAAATGGAAATTGGAACTCAAATATCATTAGTAAGTAACCCATATACGGACAACCACTGATATACCAAAAGTGAAAAAAAGCATACTTAAATCTCCAAAAGAGAATGGCAAGTTATGCCTTATCTACTGATATTCAAATATAGCTTTAAAGTTTAAAAACAAATGCTGCATTTTTTTTACTTAGAAAACAACCGTTCTTCCTCCATTATTATTAGTGATCATTTCACAAAAAAGTACTTTGTTGCCCTTTCCCAAAAGTTGTACAGTAGCAATGGGTAGAAATTTTATACTGTAATTTTTTATACTAGGCTTTCAAAGACACATTATCGACACTGTTGCTATTAAGTTATAAATAATAGTTTTAAACGCTATAAATGGGCTAAACAAGATTAAACAGGGTTCAAAGTAAGAAACATTAGCGGCAAACTTCTGCTATTAACTAAAAGATTATTCTTATAAAGCAGGAGTGGCAAATAGATTGTCTTGCATACCAACTCTCAATAACTGTTTTACTTCTTGAAGCAATATATTAAAAATTCTGGGTTAGGATTAGATAGATGCTATAAAAAAATGGCTGTGTTGAGAATTCTGATACATATTTACCATTCCTGTCGTTGAGTCTCAATTTACCATTCCTGTCGTTGAGTCTCACAATCAATACTGATTTCAATTATTAGCATCTGAGTTCTAAATATTTTGTTACAAGGTAGGCAAGATTTTAAATACAGTTTGATTTTTTTCACTCTTCAGTGTGAGTACCTACACTTAACATCTGAAATCTATTCAAATTTCCACAAATGACCAATTGTATACCTGGCATGCCAGTAGCAAGACCCTGACCAAAAGCCAATGTTGGATTTGCTGCTGCAGCTGCCGCAAGTGATTCTGCTTGCTGCCCTTGCTGACCCTGATTGGGAGTAAGAGGACGCTGACCTGCTCCAGCACGGAGAACCTACAAAGGTAAAATGATTTTCTTAAAATCAATATAAAATAATAGATAAGTAAATTTATCTTGGACAACTGTGTATTTATTACAAACAGCCTTTGGATATTTTTTAAACATTTACATGCAAGGAAATGTAGATTTAGCATGAAAAATCACAAAATACATTAACATCAAAAACACAATCACTAGCTCTTAACAGCTAGAACAATCTATAAAGCAACATGGAGGTTACAGAAAATCTTTGGTTAAAAACTATTTCTAATATCTGTGCTCTTTAACAAAGTAGTTTAAAAAATAATAATAATAATAATGAGCTTTTATTATTCTCAACAACAGAGAAGACTCCAGCCTGACATCTGCTGGAACTGAGTCCACACTGTGGAAGGCACAAGCTGTGGCAGGGCCTGGAAGACATGCCTTAGAGATTCCCTCAGTCCTGCCACCTTGTGGAAGACATTTCAAAAGAATGAATGGTAAACTCATGTGACCAGCAGGGAGGACAACATCGAAGAAACTTTCCTGCCTAAAGTCAGCCTCTGTCCAGAGCTAGTACATGGAAGGAGATACTTCTCCTGGGGTCACATCTTCACTGGAAGGCAGGTGGGAGCTCACTGCTGTGACCCACATATCCTCCTCGCTCGGCGTCTCTATTCTGGTACTTTATCCGACCGACTGCATATTCCTCTGTTCCTTGGCTACAGTGTTTAATTCTTGAGAAGAGAATGTTGAACAAGTCAAGTCCTCGTCACCCTTAGTCAGAACTCTCATTTGACTTGGAAGATTTGTACTTCCATTTTTTCTTCTTTTTCTTTTCTTTCTTCCTTTTCTTTCCTCTTCTTTTTCTTGTGTTTCTCTTTACTTCAGAGGAACTGGAGCTGCTCCCATCTTCATCCAAGATAGAATCCTCCAATAACTGTTTTAACTGCTGTATCCTTACATCCTTTTCATGTCTTTTATTGCCTCACATGCTGCCATATATGGGATCTTCATGTGCTACTCTGAACTGCTCTTTCAGTTACCTTTGATAAAGAAAGGGCATTGTTTGTCGCCCATTTGGTGACCATACCGTTTGCAACGCCAACCCAAGCATCCTTTAATCTTGTTGCTTTAGGAATGAATTTTCCATCACCAAGAAATTATGAAGCAATCCAATGAAAAGTAAGTGCTTAACTTTGACTTCTTTCTCCAGTGGCATCCAAAGTCCTTTAGTTGGTGTGTGAGCCAGAAATTCCCTGGCATGTTCATTGCCTGGTACATCTGGTATGCAGTCTTCTGGCTTAGTGTCATCTTCCTTGATAAGCCCAGGAGGAGGTTTTTTCATAAAAGGACTCCAGGTGCATGAGCTGCATCATGCTGCTTTTGCTCCCGGCGCCACTGCCCTGCAACTTGCCCGGGAGGTGGCCAAAATCCTGGCCTCCGCTACTTGATCCCCGCCTCCCTGTGGCTGGCCCCACGTCAGTGCACGGAGCCCCAGAGCTTAGCGCCGTCAGGCCCATGGCTGACAGTTGGTAGTTTTTTTTTTTTTTTTCCCCAAAGATTTGTTTGGGAGTAGGAGGAATGGCAAAATCTTAAGACTTTAAAATTAGATTTTTTTCTGAGACGAAGTCTCGCTCTATCACACAGGCTGGAGTGCAATGGCATGATCTCAGCTCACTGCAACCTCTACCTCCTGGATTCAAGTGCTTCTCCCACCTCAGCCTCCCCAGTAGCTAGGACAACAGGCGCACGCCACCACGCTTGGCTAAGTTTTTGTATTTAGTAGAGACGGGGTTTCACCATTTTGGCCAGGCTGGTCTCTAACTCCTGACCTCAAGTGATCCACTGCACCCGGCCTAAAATTAGATTTTATTAAAATTATTTTCTAGGCTGGGCGCAGTGGCTCACACCTGTAATCCCAGCACTTTGGGAGGCCAAGGCAGGCGGATCACCTGAGGTCGGGAGTTCAAGACCAGCCTGACCAACATGGAGAAACCCTGTTCTCTATTAAAAATACAAAATTAGCCAGGCATGATGGCACGTGCCTGTCATCCCAGCTACTTGGGAGGCTGAGGCAAGAGAATTGCTGCCGGGAGGCAGAGGTTGTGGTGAGCTGAGATCACTCCATTGCACTCCAGTCTGGGCAACAAGAGCAAAACTCCATCTCAAAAAAAACAAAACAAAACAAAACAAAACAACACTAAGGCTGAAAAAGGAAATACGGAAAGATTCGGCAAATAAATTCGAATTTGTTACGAGACTGATGCAGACCAAACCAAGTTTTCAGGATTCAGAAGCCTTAATAAGAGTAAAAGCTGCTTTTAAACATATTTTTAAAAGAACACAGGATTATATATCAAAACAAGGTGAAAACTTAGTCTGGTCAAGGTTTACTATTCCGCAATACATAGCTGTTGTAGCAATCATACATAAGCATGATAAATTTAATCATTAATTTTAAACAACTCAGGACAAGTGGGAGTCGTAAGTCCTTCTCTGTAAGTAAGCATCAAACACAGGTGTGTATATTTTAAGCTAATGTGACATTACATTTGTCCAAACATACAGATTACAAAATAATTTATTAAACAATGAAGTGATATGATGTCAAAGGACTGAGCCAAAAACAGCTTCAACAGAGCATCTATGTAGAATCAAAATATATTACCCGAGAGCGGTGGCTCACGCCTATAATTCCGGCACTTTGAAAGGTCGAGGTGGGTGGATTACTTGAGGCCAGGAGTTCAAGACCAGCCTGGCCAACATGGTGAAACCCCGTCTCTAATAAAAATAGAAAAAATTAGCTGGGTGTGGTGGTGCACACCTGTAATCCCAGCTACTTGGAAGACTGAGGTATAAGAGTCACTTGAACCTGGGGTGGAAGTTGCAGTGAGCCAAGATCGTGCCACTACACTCCAGCCTAGGTGACAGAGTAAGACTGCTAAAAATAAAAATAAAATAAAATAAAAAATAAAATATATTAAAGGAAATTCAGAATAAAGTTTAACTGCCAAGTAAGCAATACCATGGTGCTTCTTCGGTATAAATACAATGAATGTGACAGTCAGAATTCTGTTATTTATTATAGTGTTTTTAGATTTATCAAGTTAGTTCTTTTGAAAAAGGCTCAAAATTTTAAAGATATAAACATCTTTCTTTTTCCAGAAATTAAAGCTAACCTTTAGTGAAAATATTTTATCATTTCTTGCTTAAAAATAAAAAATACCTACTAATCCCTTTTTACTGGTCAGAAACACATTAACATTTAAAATTGTAATTTAAATACCTGGAAAAATATGAAGGAATAATTATTTTGATAGGAACATTATTAACACACTAACATGAAGTGATGAAAAGAAATTTAGAAACTGCTAGAGATTTCAAGATCGCAAAATAACAGAAACACAGAAACTGAATATAACCAAATCTTTTAAATTCATATAATACTGATTAGGAAAAATAAAATCCCATGCATAAATACTTGCGTATCAACTGTATGCCAGGAGTCGTGTTACACAGTGAGGAAACGTAAGTCGAAAAACACAAATCTTAAACATTAGGAGCTCAAAGAATTTCAAAGAATACTTGGTATTACTTAATAGAAGGAAGGCCTACCTGTTGCTGTCCAGGCTGAGCTTGTGATGCTGCTTGCTGACTGGCTGTGTTATTTGCCGCAGCTGCAGCTTGCTGCTGAAATAAGTTGGCTGGATACACCCCCCATGGAACGCCGTAATACTGAGGTGGAACCACTGCTGGACCTAAACCCCACACCCGACCCCCGAATAAAAAGTTACTAGATTTTACATAGACATGAGGTTAGCTACCTATCATCAGATTATAAAAGGGGGCAGGAAGAAGACTTAGAGAAGAACATGTCTTTATAATAAAAGACAAAGTATTGATGGGTGACAGCAATGGTCTTAAAGGGAAAAGATGAGAATCCATCCTCAAGGAATCCAACCTCAAGGCTACCAATAAACTGATAGGACACTTAACCATCTATTCAACATTTAATGAATGCCAATTTTTGGGTCTGACACTATACAGATAATATATTCAGGGAACACAGATTCCATAAAACTAAGATTTTTTAAATGCTCATTCATCGTTTCTCTCAGAGAATTTTGACTACTGAGATGGATTACAAGATACTTTTAAAATATTTTACTTTCCAATCTATAACACAAAACTGGGGAACATTCTGGTACCAAGCATGCTACAATGGTATTTGAGTTGAAAACCTTAAATTTTAAAATATTTTTCATATTTCAGTCACGATTCTCACAGAACAACTGCAAATTATAAGAAAACAAATGAGACGTCAGCATTTATGTGGTTAGGAAAATGAAACTGAGTCAAGACAAGAAAGCACTAGATAATATAAGCAGAAAGAAAAATAGAAGGGAAACTAGGAAAATAAGAATAAATTGTTCCTGCTCTAGTCTACTTTATTCAAGATAATATTTGATTCCTAGAAAGTAAATAGTTTTATGCACAATAAGCTTCACCATTAAAGTAATGAATAAAATGTCATGATTCCTGACTTACATAACAAACATGTCCTAAAATGTTATCAGTGGAATTTTAGGACATCTTTATTTGTATTAATGTATTTTTAAAAGTCAAACTCTCGGTTTCACGTTGCATTCAAAGGGGAAAAAAGCCCAGTATATTTGACTGAATCACTAAAATAAAAAGCTTTTATTTCTACAGATAGCCAGGTAAGCTGAACCTGAAATGAGGACTATTAAAACACCGAATAGAGTTTACCAAAAAAAGGGTACATTGTAAAAATAAAACAATAAAAAGATACATTGTAAAAATAATAAAAAGGGTACACCGTAAAAATAAAACAATGAAAAGGATACATCGTAAAAATAAAATAAAAAGGACACATTGTAAAAATGAAAGGATATATTATAAAAAATATAAGTTTTGTAAACTCTATTCATAACATCTACCTAGAAACTCATCCAACCTAGCCAGGAGCCTGAATTTATTAACATGCTGAAATTATTATATTTTGGATATGTTGGGACAAATTAAAGAGTATTATTGAAATTAATTTTATTGCTTTTTACTTTTATATTGTGACTACTACAAAATCTTAAACTACATTTTCTGGCTCACATTGTATTTCTACTGGACAATGCTGGTCCTAGAAAACTTAAGTCCAAAATACATAGAATGCTTATACACAAACTAAATGACCTCTTCAAGTTACTTCTATCAGACCCACAGTTTAGTGGTTCTCTGTATTATACCAACACTTTACATAGTAACATCCAGTTAAATGGCACCAGAAAAGCTCACATCCTTATAGAATCACATCCAAGTCCACACCAAAAGCTAATGACAGCTTAGTTTCATTGTCGTAGCTAAGATATCAAATATAAATCTGAAATTTCTTCCCCGTTTTTTAAAACAAGATCTTGACTTTAAAAATCAGTCTTGGCCGGGCGCGGTGGCTCACGCCTGTAATCCCAGCACTTTGGGAGGCCGAGGCAGGCGGATCACAAGGTCAGGAGATGGAGACCATCCTGGCTAACACAGTGAAACCCCGTCTCTACGAAAAATACAAAAAATTAGCCAGGCGTGGTGGTGGGCGCCTGTAGTCCCAGCTACTCGGGAGGCTGAGGCAGGAGAATGGTGTGAACCCGGGAGGCGGAGCTTGCAGTGAGCCGAGATCGTGCCACTGCACTCCAGCCTGGGCAACAGAGCGAGACTCTGTCTCAAAAAAAAAAAAAAAGTCAGTCTCCTAGGAAAATACTGACTGTCAGAAGTGGGTTTCAAACTGATTAGTGACAATATTTCAGTCAAGATATCGCTCAAAGCCCCCCCAGCCCCCCCAAAAACAACAGGGACAGCCTCAAGTTTTGAAAGTCAGCCCATTAGCAGACTCATTCCAATAAACAAAATTCTAAGGCAGATATCAACCTATTCTTGCCTGTATAATCAATATAAACAATGCCTCAGACTAACTCATTTCTGTCTTTGTAGCCACCTCAACCTAAAACAAACTCTTCCCAAGAACCCCAACTAAGATCAGCAAATCGCTTTGTTCAAATAAGACTGTGCCTGATCAGCACACAACTTTTCCTTACTTACACAGACAATAAATACAGCTTTTTTGTTGTTGTTTTCATTTTTAGACAGTCTCACTCTGTCACCCAGGCCAGGCGCTTCGGCATCCCAAAGAGCTAGGATTACAGGTGTGAGCCACTGCACCTGGCCAGCTTTGGCTTTTATTTCAGATTCTGGGTGGTAGTCTCAGGCTGGGCAGTTTTTAGTACGTTCTTTCCAACTTGATCCAAACTTTTTGTCCCCCACCTTGTTTGTACATTTTAGCATTGCTCAAGAAATTTTAGATACATATTTTCTCAGAATTACTGTATCTGTTTATCTTACTCTATTCTACCCCTGACCTATGTATGCAGGCCACCTACCTCTATTTTATTTTCTGAGAAGTAATTTTACTTTGCATTGTCTCTGCGGGTAATGGGGTTTGTCATTAAAATGGAGATTCATGGTTGACTATATAGATTTCTAAAACTATAAAGCTGAAATGTAAGCCAATTACGTATACGAGGAAAAGTTATTGCTTAAGCTTTTCCCTGTAGCATTACAGTTGAAAAATAGTACTAACTTCCTGGAAACTTTAGTTCATTCTGGATAATGTTTCAGTTTTTCTTAGGAATTTCAAATTGCCCAAATAGAGAAAAATAAAGCTTACACCCAAAACTAAATACATTAAAAAGCAACCATAATAAAGATGAACAAATAGTATGTTACCTGCTAATGTAGCTGCTGCAGCCAATCCTGCTGCAGTATACGGATCGGTCCCTGGAGGAGCAGCACTAATAATGTATGGATTTGGCACAAATGCAGCTGGAGCAAGGCCTGCTGAGAATACACCAGCTATATTTTAAAAGGGGAGAAATAATAAACAACAATGTAAAGTATGATTTTTTTCATTAGATAAAAACATTTCTACTCTGAATCTGGGGTGGTGTGGGGGTGGGGAGCAGAGTGTGCATAATGGTTCAAATTTTTACTAAGTGACCTTGGGCATGTACCGCTAACTCTAAATTAGTTTTCATTTAAGAAACAGCTGTTTTGCAGAATTGCTGTGAGAATTAAATGTAATACCGATTATGACATAACTGTACTGTCTCGAGGTATGTTATAGAAAATAAAAATATAAATTCAAAAAGAAATGACTGCACAGTATGTATTAGCATGAGACTGGCATAAAATAAATGTGAGAGCCAGAACTGCTACTGGTAAATAGTAGTTTTTCACTCAATCTTATAAAGTCACATTATGAGCTAGGGATTCAGTGAGGCAGGAATATACAATTTGCCCTCACAAAGCACTCCATCTGGTGAGAAAAACAGGTATATTAGCAAATACAATATAGCATATTAAGTGCTCTGGGCACAGAGAGGAGGAACATCTAATAAACTTTGGAAGGGGTGAGTAAAATGAATGAGGTATAGTGTAAGATAAAATAAAACTGGAGGTATAACCATCATGAAGACCAAGGAAGAGCTTCCTGGTTCATGCTAAGTAGTTTGGATTTTACCCTCCAGTCAATACGGAAACAAGAAAGAGCTTAAAGGCCAGTTACACTCACTTCTGAGTAACATACGTCCATATGAATTTAGTAAAGGCTGAAAAAGACCTAAAAATATACATTTGCAGTACTCATTAAAGAGAGAAGAAACTCTCAGATGTTGAGGAATCACTGTACAGGTCTTTCAACCACAGCTACTGGAAAAAATTACTTCACGAGACCCTGTCTCAAAAATAAATAAAAAATAATAGGCCGGGCGTGGTGGCTCATGCTTGTAATCCCAGCACTTTGGGAGGCCGAGGCAGGTGGAATACCTGAGGTCAGGAGTTCAAGACCAGCCTGGCCAACATGGTGAAACCCTGTCTCTGCTAAAAATACAAAAAAATTAGCTGGGAGTGGTGGCAAACGCTGGTAATCCCAGCTACTCAGGAGACTGAGGTTGGAGTGAGCCGAGATAACGCCACTGCACTCCAGCCTGGGCAAGAGGGCGAGACTCCGTCTCAGAATAATAACAATAACAACAATAATGATAATAGTAATATTTTTAAAAAGCATTCAAAAGGAAAATATATCTTACTAGGCCTTAAAATCAAAATTCAGGTTCCTGAAGGGTGGCACACCCAGGGAGGGCATGGAAGCTCCGCACCCCTTCCTCCATGCCTCACCCTACCCAGCAGCTCTGCACACCTGTATCCTTAACAGTATCTTTCATAATAAACCAGTAAAAGTAAGTGTTCTATGAGGCACTCCAGCAAATCAAACCCAAAGAGGGGCTTGTGGGAACTCCAACTTGAAGCCAGTCGGTCAGAAGTTCTGGAGGCCCAGACTTGTGATCAGTGTGTGTTGGGGGTGGAAAGCAGTCCTGGAGACTGAGGCCTCAACTTCTGGGATCCGACATTGTCTCTGGGTAGACAGTGTTGGAACTGAATTAGAGGACACCCAGCTGGTGTCTCCTGCTTGGTGTGTGGAGAAAACCGCCCACACATTTGGTCACAGAAGTAGTCTGTGTTGTCATGGCATGAGAGTAGAGGAAAAACAAGGTTTTAGGCCAGGCATGGTGGCTCATGCCTGTGATCCCACGACTTTGGGAGGCCAAGATAGGTAGATCACTTGAGGCCAGGAGTTCAAGACCGGCCTGGTCTTGAACACAGTGAAACCCCGTCTCTGCTAAAAATATAAAAATTAGCTGGGTGTGGTAGCACATGCCTGTAATCCCAGCTACTCGGGAGGCTGAGGCATGAGAATTGCTTGAACCCAGGAGGTGGAGGTTGCAGTGAGCCAAGATCACACCACTGCAGTCCAGCCTAGGCAACAGAGTAAGACTCTGTCTCCTAAATAAATAACAACAACATGGTTTTAGAGAGTTTTCCCTATACACAATCATTTTTTGTAGCCTATTTAATTTTAAAAAATACAAGCCTCAACACTGATTTCTTGTCTAGGCACAACACAGCCATTTAAGAAATCTGCTTTTATCTATGAAAAGCGTCAAACTCGGTAAATTATTTGAAGAGATTTATTCTGAGCCAAATATAAGGGCCATAGGTACATTTTAAAATTTTCTGGTTGACAAATTGGTTGAGTTTATCTAAAGACCTGGGATCAATAGAAAGGAAATGCTTGGGTTGTGATAAGAGGTTGTGGAAACAACAGTTTTATCATAGAGATGAATCCTCCAGAGAGCAGGCTTCAGAGAGAATAGACTCTGTTCCTTAACAGACTTAAGGTCTGCGTTGATGTTAATGCTGGAGAGGTATAATGAAGCATGTCCAACCCCTACTTCCCATCACAGCCTGAACCAGTCCTTCAGGTTAAATTTTTTTTTTTTTTGAGACAGAGTTTCGCTCTTGTTGCCCAGGTTGGAGTGCAGTAGCACGATCTTGGCTCACCACAACCTCCGCCTCCCGGGTTCCAGTGATTCTCCTGCCTCAGCCTCCCGAGTAGCTGGGATTACAGGCATGCGCCGCCACGCCTGGCTAATTTTGTATTTTTAGTAGAGACGGGGTTTCTCCATGTTGGTCAGGCTGGTTGTGAACTCCCGACCTCAGGTGATCCGCCCGCCTTGGCCTCCCAAAGTGCTGGGATTACAGGCGTGAGCCATAGCACCCGGCCTCAAGTTAAATTTTAAGAGCACCGTGGCCAAGGAAGAAGTCCATTCAGATGGTTGCTGGGGGCCTTAGAATTTTATTTTGGTTTATACTTTCTGTGAAGAAAATATGAATTAAACTATGAGTTCAATAAAATCCTTTCATTTTAAAGCCATTCGTTGAGTCCTGTTTTTAGCTATGCCCTAGGTCAAAAAGGTTACAAGATTCCACTCAGGTTAGTGAAAGGAAAATAAATCTCCCGAAAATCACCAAGCCAAAAAGAAAAGTTAAGCTGGGAACTGCACTGGGCAAATCCTGCCTCCCATTCTATTCCTAAATAAGATAGCTAGAAAGATTGAAAGAGAAAAAAAAAAAAAAAAAAGCTACGCATCTGCCTCACAGTTTGCCCTCAAGGAAATTCCTTATGGACAAAGGACAGGCAGAGCTCAAAGTCATCGCTCTGCTCACATGAGAAAAAAGCGTATCTGATTTCTTCACCAAGCCAGACTAACACATAACTGATTATTCCCGTAAATTGTGCATTCAGTGAAAAACTAATCAGAAACTCAAAAGAATGCAATCATTTGTCTCTTATTTACCTATGACCTGGTAGCCCCCTCCCAGCTTCCAGTTGTCCCATATTTCCGGACCAAACCAATGTACATCTTATGCATATTGACTGATATCTCAAGTCTTCTTAAAATGTATAAAACTAAATTGTGCCCCAACCACCTTGGGCACATGTTGTCAGGACTTCCTGAGGCTGCGACATGGGCATGTCCTTAAACTTGGCAAAATAAACTTTCTAAACTGCTTGAGACCTGTCTCGGTTATCTTTTGGTTTGCAACTTCATCTATCATGAATTATCTTTATCACAAAAGTAGAAAACAATGTATTAGGGTTCCTGTTCTACTTATACCACTAAAAAATCTAAAAGTTTAATTTAATATAGTTTTATGATAAAAAGATTGTTATTAAAAATTCAAATACTGGGAGATATAAAGTGGAAAGTGAAAATCCTCATGTAACCTTTCCTGATATGTATACATACTTTTAAACGCATATATACTCATTCATTTTGTACTCTAATCTATAACTGTACTTTAATACACTTTTTCACCTACCAATTAATCATAAATCTCTGTCTACAGATACAAACCTAGCTCATCCTTTTTTTTTTGAGACAAGGTCTTGCTCTGTTGCCCAGGCTTGGGGTGCAGTGGCATGATCATGGCTAATTTCAGCCTTCACCTCCCAGGCTCAAGCGATCCTCCCACCTCAGCCTCCTGAGTAGCTAGGACTACAGGTACGCACTACCATACCTGGCTGATTTTTGTAGAGACAGGGTTTTGCCTATTGCTTAGGCTGGTCTCAAACTCCTGGGCTCAAGCAATCCACCCAACTTGACCTCCCCACAATGCTGGGATTACAGGCGTGAGCCACTGTGCCCAGCCACTCATTCTTTTTAATGGCTACATAATATGTAGTCTTCTGTATAGAAGGAACATGATATAATCAATCTACTACTTTTATATATTTAGATGGTTCATAATCTTTTGCTATAAATAAATAATGCTATTATTCTCTTTAGATACACAGGTCTGTACATTACTATATCCTTAAAAAAAATTTACTTCAACAGACAAAAACATAAATTCTCTTTTTAAGAGACAACGTCTCACTATGTTGCAGAGTTCAGGCTGGTCTTGACCTCCTAGGCTCAACTGATGTTCCCGCCTCAACCTCCAGTAGCGGAGAATAAAGGCAGGTGCCAACACACCTGACTTTCCTGTTTCTGTCATATAAATTCTTGATCCACATTTCTAGATTATTTTCCAGGAAAACTGTACCAGTTTACATTCCAAAAGTATGAGTGCCACTTACACTCCTGCCAAAACAGGACATTATCAAACATTCTGAAGACTCGCCAACCTAATAGGTAAATTAAAAAATTTTTTAAAAATTTTGTTTTAATCCATGGTTGTTTGGCTATCAACAAGGAAATTGTATCAAATCTTTTATGCTTTTGTTTTTCTCATTAAAAATTTCAGTCCATTAGGAATGAGACCCAATAACCGCCCCCCCAAGTTATTTTCCAAATAATCATTCTTTTGGCATTGATTTGAAATTCATCTCATCACTCTACCCTAAACAAGCATGCATGCACACATGGATCTATTTCAAAGTAATCTTGTTCAATGATCTACTCATACATTTTGAGTCCAGTACCACACTATTTTAATTGTCATAGTAATTGTTTTAAAAAACTGAAACTGTGCTCCAAAAAGTTAAAGAAAGCAGTGACTAATGAAAATTCTTGAGTTTGCAGGATGGCAGATATGAAAAGAAAGAATTTGCAGAAAGAAATGCAGAAACTCTGTTCAAATTTGCAGAAAGAAATGCAGAAACTCTCTAAGATAACAAAACTGGCTGAAATCGGTTAAAACCAATATGGACTGCAGTCTGTGCAGAACAAGCTTGCTGACATCACAGCCCAAATTTCCACCACGCTTCATACTAACTCTCCCGCAATTTGCACATGCGACCCATCAGGTGGCATGAAGAGATAGCTGTGCATGCTGAGGACTTCCCAGGCCTCCCCTTTTCTTCCACCAATTACTTAATAATCTCAAAATCCATCCCCTAAGGCCTTTCTAATAAAAATTACTCCCTTAAAGCCAGCACAGGGAGATAGACTTGAGCTGGATTCCTGTCTCCTTGTTGGTTGACCTACAAAAAAAGCTTTTCTTTTCTCAAAAACCTGGTGCCATAGCATTGGCTTCTACTGCATCAGGCAGTGAGTGCTTCTGCTCGGAAACAATATGGTTGAGCAAGTCCTCCTCCTCCGCTTTAATTTTAGTTTTCCATTAATTTTCTGGTTTTTCTGGGAGCACTGCTTGAGCCTGGGAGGTCGAGGCTGCAATTAGCCATAGGCCACTGCACTCTATGCCTGGGTGACAGAAAAGTACCATTTACTTTTCTGAGACAAACATCAAAATCAAGCTTTCAAGTTTTTTTTTTTTTTTTTCAAAAGAGAAAAAAAAACCTGCTGGGATTCTGACCAAGAGTATATTTAATACACACATTAATTTAGGGAGAACTGACATTTTTATAATGCTGAGTTTTGCCCAGAAAAATCACGTCTCCATTTATTCAAGACTTCTGGAAAAGTTTACAGTTTTCTTTACAAATGCTTTGTACATCCTTACTTACTCCCTAACTCATTCCATAGCTTTTCATTTCTCCTTTACATTTCCCATGTCTTGATTACCATAGGGAATTTCAGTGTTCTGGGCGACCATCTACGTTTTATATCCTAATTCATTTAGCGGTAGGTGATAGCCAATTATGCAGCTCACCTAGAACTATTTTTTCAATGACTTATTTACAAGACCATGAAATGGCTCCTTTTCACAGCAATCTGTTGTTTTAAGACTTCTGATAATCTCTGATGGCTCACACCCTTTATCTCTTAAGGTTCTGAAAATACTCTTACATTCTTTGCACAACTTTAAAGTTCCCTTCCATAACTTAGAACTCTGCGACATGTTTTCTGGCTGATCCTTCTTTGTACTGTCATTTTTGTTTGAAACATTATCTTACATGAGAGTTTCTCTTGCACTCACTTGTTCATTATGTGGTATCAGAATTATTGCCTAAACTACATACTATAGGGTCAAATCTCCAAACCAGGTCTTTTATTAGTAGCTGGGGGAGCTCTTACATGGTTACTACAACTCAACCCCCAAAGCCTGAACTGCATAGGCCCCTTTTTGTTTGTTTATTCCTCTTCTAGCCATCTGTAGGTCACCTGGCTTTATTCCCAATTTACCCCCCTATGGATTCTCCCTCAACTCCTTGTACTCTAGGAACTCTCCAACCAACTACATAACCCTGTCTTTTTGTTTTCATTCTATCCTATCTATTATTTCTGTCTGGCCAAGTACATGGGTTAAGCCTGCGTCTTACCTATTTTTGTACAAACTAGCTAAGAATAGTTTTAATATTTTTAAATGGTTCAAAAAAATAAAATTCAAACACATGAAAATTATTTGAAATTCCTATTTCAGCACCCATAAGTAAAGTTTTACTGGAACATAGCAATATTTATGCATCATCTAATAACCATTTTCATGCTTTACCAGCACAGTGGAGTGGTCGTGACCAAACCCATATGGTATGCAAAGCTTTAAATATTCAACAGCCTTTTGTACAGAAGACATTTGTCAACTCACACTCTAAAAATTTTCCACATATAGTCACTGTGCATTTAAAATGTGACTAGTTTGAGATCAGCTATATTCAAAGCTGACTTGAGATCAGCTATATTTCAAAAACAATATAAAGAAAAGAATGCAAAAATTCTCATTAGTAAGTTCCATATTGACTACATTTTGCAATATTTTGGATATGAGCTAAATAAAATATTCAAATTAATTTCACCTATTTTTTAATTTTTAAAAATGTGATTACTAAATAACTGCAAATTATATGGTACATATTATACATATTTCTATCGACTAGTCCTTTTCTAAATGAGCTATTGGCCAGCTAAGAGGTGACCAGGCAAATTTGGATAAAAAAGATTGTCAATAATGAATTTGCTTAACTGTGGAATTGAGTTAAAATGTGGGGTCAATTTTGATACACTATGCTTTCTAGGTTTTCAAATTTATTTATATTAGGTTTCTCACACATGAAAGTTCTGCCACATCTTTAAAGATTACGTAAGTCCAATATTATTAAAATACTCTAAGGCATTAAAATAAGAAAGAAATGGCTGGGCGCAGTGGCTCATGTCTATAATCCCAGCACTTTGGGAGGCTGAGTCAGGTGGATTACTTGAGCCCAGGAGTTCGAGACCAGCCTGGACAATAGGGTGAATCCCCGTCTCTACAAAAAATTCACTGGGCATCATGGCTCGAGCCTATAGTCCCAAGCTATGTGGGAGGCTGAGATGAAAGGATTGCTTCAGCCTGGGAAGCTGAGGCTGTACCACTGCACTCCAGTCTGGGTGACAGAGTAAGACCCTGTCTTCGAAAAAAAAAAAAAAAAAAAAAAAAAGACGTATCTAAAATTATTTTTGTGAAGCAAGAATGCTGACACTAAAAAACGTGAAAAAACTGCAGATACACAGAGACTAATTTCATCTAACTATATAGATGCAAAAATCCTAAATGAAATACTAGCAAATTGAAAGAGTATGTTAAAAGAAATAATTATTATATACAAGTCTTTTTTATTCCAAGAATGGGAAGACGATTCAACTATTTTAAAATATCATTCATGAAATCTGATATATGGTACTTGAGTTTTCATAGATAACACTTTAAAGCTACAATGAAAGACAGGAAGAAAGCCATTTACAATAACAAAACATAAAATACATAAAATAAACTTAGAATGAAATATGCAAACCCCTATGAGAAAAATTTTAAAGCACTCAAATGACACTACAGTAAACTTGAACAAAAATAAAGACACATCACACCCTGGACAAGAATACTTGATGTCAGCAGGGCACGGTGGCTCACGCCTGTAATCCCAGCACTTTGGAAGGCCGAGGTGGGTGGATCACTTGAGCTCAGGACCAGCCTGGGCAACATGGTGAAACCCTGTCTCTACAAAAAATTTGCCAGGTGTGGTGGCGTGCACCTGTGGTCCCAGCTACTCGGGAGGCTGCGGCGAGAGGATCACTTGAGCCTGGGAGGCAGCAGTTGCAGTGAGCCAAGACTGCACCACTGCACTCCAGCCTGGGTCAAACAACAAGACCTCCTTGTCAAAGAAACAACAACAAAAACAATAACAACAAAAAAAACCTGATGCTTGATGGCATAAAGATGTCAAATTTCCCTAAGTAAATTACAACATTTAATCCTATCTTCTGGAAGTAGATAAGCTAATTTTGAAGTTCATACAAAAAAGCAAATAAGCAAGAACCAAAAACTTAAAACCCCAAAAAAGAAGAGTAATAGATGTATTAGCCTGCCTAATAATATAAAGCCTCGAGAAATAAAAACCGTTGTGCTGTCCATGAATAGACAGGTAGCAGTACATTTCTAACATAAGAGGACAAACAAGGGATAAAGCGGGTGGGGAAAAAAGGAAAGAGAGGCAAAAAGAGGAAAGAAACGGGGCCAGAGTACATGCTGCGACTGGCACTCACCTATAAATGTGGACTTTTTTTTTTTTTTTTTTTTCTTGAGCGGAGTCTCTCTCTGTCACCCAGGCTGGAGTGCAGTGGTGCAATCTTGCTTCACTGCAGCCTCCGTCTCCCAGGTTCAAGCGATTCTCTGCCTCAGACACCCAAGTAGACGGGATTACAGACCCCCACTGCTAAGCCCAGCTAATTTTTGTAATTTTGTAGAGACGGGGTTTCACCATGTTGGCCAGGATGGTCTCAAACTCCTGACCTCAGGTGATCCACCTGCCTCAGCCTCCCAAAGTGCTGGGATTTCAGGATGGCGCCACTGTGCAGCCTGACATTTTTGATGAAAACAAAAAATAGGCCAGACGCGGTGGCTCACACCTGCAATCCCAGCACTTTGGGAGGCCGAGGGGGGGCTGATCACCTGAGATCCGGAGTTCAAGACCAGCCTGGCCAACATGGTAAAACCCCCGTCTCTACTAAAAATACAAAAATTAGCCAGATGTGGTGGCAGACGCCTGTGATCCCAGCTACTCAGAAGGCTGAGGCAGGAGAATCTCTTGAACCCAGAAGGCGGAGGCTGAAGTGAGCCGAGATTGCCCCACTGTACTCCAGCCTGGGTGAGAGTGAGACTCTCTCTCCAAAATAAACAAACAAAAAAACTGAAAAATAAAAATTAGGGCTTAGGAAGCCTTATTGCACTAACACAGAAGAATATGACATTAAGGAAAGACAACCCCCTTCCATAGACTCTGATGTTGACAGTCTTCATACAAACTTAGACAAAATCAGACAGGCATAAAAATGTTTACACAAATCTACACCTGATAAAATAAAATAAAACTATACATACATACTGCATCAATATCATATTACTGTTTTTGATACTGTACTGTAATAATTTAAGTGTAGCCATTAGGGGGAACTGGGTAAAGGGTATAGGGAAGTTATTCCCATATTATTATTGTGGGAGGTAGTGGGGAGACCTAGTACAGACAACATCATGTACCAAGCTTGAATTCTAGCAGATTAAAAGTCAAAGACCAAATAACTTCATGGAAAAAAATATTTTACAAAAAAATGTAAATGAACATACTGACTTGATAATGGACACAAGTAAATTTGAATTTCCAAGTGTCTGACTTTCTCAACTTCACATTGGAGAAAAACTTATGTGATAATAACTTTTATCGAATTACAGATTTTTATTTAATTAAACCAGTGATGCAAATAATAATCAGAAACAATTCCCTAGTTAATAAACACCTTTGTCATACAACCTATTACTTGTTGATCTCAGATGTTTCAAAAAGTAACAAAACCTCACCAATCAGTAAACGAAAAGTGAAACATCCTAGACATTTTAACAAGACTTTGGTCAAAATGAGAACGTATGAAGACTCACCTATATGTGGCTGCTGAGCTGCTGCTAATGCATATTGCTGCTGTTGAGCTGCAGTTAACTGTTGAACTGTTAGTGCATTAGTCCTCTGAAAGAGCTATTAGGGAAAATATTTAACACAAAGATTAGTGTCAAAATCTTTCATTTCTAATTAGAAATCTGAATAAAACATTTTAAACATTTTTTCTTTGGGAGGACTTTCTCAAATACAGGACACTTTAATCAATAAAACATTTAGTACTCAAAAACCCCTACCATTCTTTTCAATGCCACATAGCACTTCAGGCTAAACCAGTATACAGTTAAGAGGACCTTCTTAAAGAAAGAACATGCTTTTACCTGCTGCTGGGAATTGTAGTCAAAAAGGCCTACAGTAGCTCCTGAAGAGTCCATTGGTACCTGATTACCAGGATAGTCAAACTGTAAGGATTCCAGACCAACTTGTTCCATGGCATCCAGATTCTGAGTTTCAGGATTTGAAAATTCTTCAACAAGTGGTTTATTAGCTGTAGGATTAGGAAGAGGCCCCAGTCCTTCTGAGGGATTAGTATTGGGGCCCAAGCGCTCAACTACTTCAGTTGGAGAGGCTTGACGACTTCCAGGAGTACGACTACATAAAGAAAATAGAAAAGCATTATGAATAAAAGTAACAAGTCAAATAGCGAAATGGGAAAATAGAAAAATCATGAAAAACAAATGGTCATAAAACACAATGAATAAGGCATTCTGGGTCACTATGCCACCTTATCACATTTTTTTCTATTTAATATAACTTTCCTCTTAACAGCTGGCATGATTTGAGGATTTTAAAAATATTATTAATGATTACTCCCTTCAATCTGAATAACATAAAGATATAATGCAATTTTACACATTAGAAAAACTGGCCAGTATCACAACTTAGGCTTATACTACCTGAAATCTCTGTCTCAAGTCACAGTCACAAAGAACAGTGTATTAACAGCAGGTTATTAAGTGGCAAATATGAAAAAGCTCAAAACCAAAACCCACTTACCATACTGCTGTCCTGCCCTGCCAACACATAATTTTGCCATAACATCCTGCTTAATAATACTTAAGAAAAAAATCTGGCCATAAGAGATCATAATGGTCTTCATTATTTAAGGGGCCAAAATGTGGGATGCAACAGGAAAAGAGTACTATACATGATAAGTCAAAAGGCTGACTTCTGACTTTGTCTTTTAAATATGATTTTGAGCAAGTCATGTCATCTTTCAAGCTGCAGTCTTCTTATTGAGGAGACTTAAGAGATGACCTTTTGATTCCAACTAATAAGAACAAAAGCAACTATTTATGAAAGCCCACTATGAAAGCCCTCCGAAGACCATGCTTATTATACCAAATAGTTCAGCTGAAACCATCAGAAAGAAATCGAAATGTATGACATTTATCAAAACTTAAGTATACACAGCAAGAAAAGGATCTTTCTACATTAAAAAAAAAAAAAAGGACCTTACTACTATACAGCCTCCTTAATTTTCACAAGGAATTCATTAACACTGGACTAAATTTTAAGCACTGGCTTCTCTTTTTATTAACACCTTCATGGTCTAAACTTACATTTCTAGCCCATTATCAATCCTCATTTATAGCTTATCTTATACATAAATGTTTTATATAGGATCCTTTCCTTTGTAAGAAAGAGTTTATTGTTCAGAGTAACTATGCATTCACAGGATATTCAAACTTGAGTACATTAAGTAAATGGCAGTAACTGTTCTACCTGGCTTTTAATGCCAGTTGCTACAGCTAACTCTTCCCAACTTCAGGTGGTCTGAATTGGAATAAATTTGCTAACATATAGAGTAGTTTACAAAGCAATTTCTTGATTACAAGAATTGTTCTCTGTAGATATGTAAGCAAACTTACACTCACTTAAACATCAACCATTTTGTCCTTGCAAAATCAGAAGATTTCAAACTCCTTTCCCTTTAAGCCACACCTAATTTTGTACGTGAACATCCCAAAGGCTCTTTTTTCATTTGGAACATATGGAATGAAAAGATAAAACTAAAAGCATTTTCTTTAAAATCAGCCAATTTTTCTTTAAAAAATAAGTGTCCAATAGTTCTTTTACTCATTTCTGTTCTACTCCAATAATGTATATATTGATGACATATTAGTTAATGTAGAAATTAATGATGTGCTGGCATAGTGACCGTATGACCACAGCTGTTGATTGTGTTAACACATTTTAATACTGTCAAGTAGTAACTAATACTGTATCTAAAATAATTAGTAATTTAAAAGATACCTAAAAACTTAATGGAATAAAATTAGAATGCTAATAAATGTAAAGTCCACATTAATATTTCAGGGGAGACGTATAACCTCTCACACAAAGTAACTCGTATATAGCAAAAATAGAGGACATTAGGAAAAAAAGTAATGCTATCAGTGGTGCTATTTTCTTGCTATAGTTAATGGTGTATTAACACTTCAATTATAAATGTATACTCTGAAGGGTTTATCATCTACTTAATTTTACATGCATTTCCTTTACTAAAACTTAGATTAGGTAATAGTGAAGAACAAACTCGAAATAAATTTCTAAATCTGAATAGCATTAAATGTATTTCTTGTTAAAAGAGGTTTACTGGTTTTGGATGCTTTTTTGCACTCAGAACAGATAGAAATGGCACTGTTTTTAAGAAGCATTGTTACTTTGCTTTTGAAGGCAATAAATGTAAAAGTATACCACCCACCATATACCTAATACTTTTTTATGTAAGATTCCATGGTCATAAGACCTCAAAGAAACAACTCATTTTCAGATACAAGCTCCAAAGCACCTCATTATTGAAATACTACAGAAAATCAATACAAAGAAACAACTCCCTAATATATAGATAAATATATACTGTCTAATCTAAGACCAAAGGCTAAAGTACTCATTTAACTGCCATAAAAAGACAACAAAAGGCTACAATGTAAAAAATTATGAGCTTAAAGCTAACTTTTAGAAGTCTCTAATATGTTCCCTATTTGCTATTTGCAGGAATAATCTTAAGTATTAGCACAAACTCATATATTTTAAGAAAGATTACTGCTCCTAAGCTAATTTTGTCTCCTCTTAAAAGTTAAATGGGAGGCAGGGCATATATACTCAGAAGGAAGAAAACTCCACTGAAAGGTGCTCAAAAGCACTCCCAAGAGGGGAAAAAAAAAAATCAGAGTAAACCTACAGTTCACTAAAATTTAACAGAGAGGAAAAAGTTCAAATTTAGACTATTATATTACCAGAAAAGTAAGCACAGCTTCTAACATTACTCCTTCAACAGAATGCACTGTTTCAGAGGCTGGTTTGAAGATTATTTTTTTAAAATGGTTCATAATCACAAATTTTCTTTATAGTAAAAAACTAAAATTTGTCCAGATTAACACAAAGTTCAAAGGAAATAAACCTAAATGATGAAAATGTCTAAATCAGTCACATCAACTAATAGTAATAATCCCTAAAAAGATACGCTTTTCTTCTTGAGAAAGTTAAAATCTTACTTAAAATCTTTGCAATCGGCATCCATTCCATTTGGCAAACCTCTGCCATTTATTTTAGAATCATCATCATCTCCTTGTTTAAGATCTCTGTTTTGGTCCTCCTCAAATGGAGAAGCCTTGCCTTTTTGATCTCCTTTCTCAGGTCCATCTGTTTCAGCATCTCTAGTGCCCTGAGGAAAAAGAATCTGTTTGATTCTGAATATTTAATAGAACACAAAAAAAAGGCACCATAAGGTGACCTAACACTACACTACAGTGCATGTAAACAATAAAAGCATTGAATCTTATTTAATTTCGTAGTCAATTAATTTATCAAAGGCCAAAAAATTGCGTACAAACTAGTGATTTATAACAGAAGGGCTAAGGCAACCTTAACTATAGCGGTGCTGGAAAAGCAGTTAACACCACAAACTAGATTAAAATTTTCTTTAATGCGTAGACGATTTTGTTTAGTTACTTTCAGATCAAGCACTACCAGGAATAAGCAATTTTAATTTTACAGATTATGTTTAAAAATTAGTATGATTTGACTTTTGTAACATGGTTCAGATTATACATATTTCCAATGGTTCTATCATTTCACGTTTTTCAAGTGGCTAAGCAGAAGAATAGCAATAATAGTTACAAAATTTCTCTTAGCTATAGGAAGGGCACAGAAAAACAAATTGAATTAAAAATAAAAGTAACGTAACCAAATAACTCTCAAGCAAATATTAAATATTTCTTTATTCAAAATACTTACAAAATTTCCCTTCCTAAATCGAGAATCCAATTTATCAGCAGGAGAAGAACTTAATACATATTCTACCATGCTCACACCAAGGCCTCCACTTTCTGATCGCGGAGACAGTATTGCATTTACTTCACTGTTTCCATGAAAACCCTGTCCAGATCTTCTCTGTACCATAATAGGCTGGGACATTGAATGGTCTGTTTGGAAGAAAAAACACAATTATATACTTATACTTTTAAGTTAAACAAAATGTAGTTAAATTAATATACTGAAGTAAGAAAAATCAGCACATTGTTTTATTTTGAATGTTATTACTATAATCTTTATATAAAGCTCTTCATAGGACACAAACAAATGGAAGAACATTCCATGCTCATAGATAGGAATAATCAATATCATGAAAATGGCCATACTACCCAAGGTAATTTACAGATTCAATGCTATCCCCATCAAGCTACCACTGACTTTCTTCACAGAATTAGATAAAATTACTTTAAATTTCATATGGAACCAAAAAAGAGTCCGCATAGCCAAGACAATCCTAAGCAAAAAGAACAAAGTTGGAGACATCACGCTACTTGATTTCAAACTATACTACAAGGCTACAGTAACCAAGACAGCATGGTACTGGTACCAAAACAGATATATAGATCAACGGAACAGAACAGAGGCCTCAGAAATAACACATCTATAGCCACCTGATCTTTGACAAACCTGAGAAAAACAAGCAATGGGGAAAGGATTCCCTATTTAATAAATGATGCTGGGAAAACTGGCTAGCCATATGTAGAAAGCTGAAACTGGATCCCTTCCTTATACCTTATACAAAAATTAACTCAAGATGGATTAAAGACTTAAATGTAAGACCTAAAACCATAAAAACCCTAGAAGGAAACCTAGGCAATACCATTCAGGACATAGGAATGGGCAAGGACTTCATGACTAAAACACCAAAAGCAATGGCAACAAAAGCCAAAATTGGCAAATGGGATCTAATTAAAGAGCTTCCACACAGCAAGATAAACTATCATCAGAGTGAACAGGCAACCTACAGAATTTGGGAGAAAACTTTTGGTTGAGACTAACTGGCTGGAGCACACATCTTGAAAATACAGACGGAAAGCGCCATTTGGCAATAAACATATAAAAACCTATGTTAAGAACAGTACAACCAAAAAGGTCAATAAAGGTAGAAATAGTATGCAAAGGATACTACCTAAAGGATCAGTTGCTTATAAACATCATTTTAAAAAGTTAACCTCCTTTTGACAATTTATAACGTAACAATTCATAATATAAACCTTCAGGGATAAAACCTAGAAGAGGCTGGACAGCAGGGGCTCATACGTGCTATCCCAGCACTTCAGGAGGCTGAGGAGGATCACTTGAGCAGAGGAGCTTGAGACTAGCATGGGAAACATGATGAGTTCCCATCTCTACAAAAAGTTTAAAAATTAGCCAAGCATGGCAGCACAGGTCTGTAGTCCCAGCTACTCAGGAGGTGAGAGCTGAGGGGGGAAGATTACTTGAACTCAGGAGGTTGAAGCTGCAGTGAGCCATGTTCACACCACTGTACTCCACTCTGGGTGACAGAGTGAGATCCTGTCTCAAAAAAAAAAAAAAAAAAAAAAAAAGGCCAGGGGCAGTGACTCACTCCTGTAATCCCAGTACTTTGACAGACTGAGGCGGGTGGACTGCTTGACCTCAGGAGTTCAAGACCAGCCTGGGCAAAAAGGCGAAACCTCATCTCTACTAAGAATACAAAAATTAGCTGGACATGGTGACGGGCACTTATAGTCCCAGCTACTAAGGAGGTTGATGAGGTGGAAGGATCACCTGAGCCCGGGAGGTCAAGGCTTTGGTGAGCCGTGATTGTGCCACTGCACTCCAGCCTGGGTGACATGAGACCCTGCTCCCCACTGCAAATAAATAAATTAAAATAACAATAAAATAAAATAAACTTTCGATTTGGCAGAAACACTTCTCAAGTTCACAGTTACGCACTGGATAGATCAGAACTCACGACTATAACGCTATAATCACAAATGAGTAAGTCCAGAAAAATCAGTAATACCACAGAATTTTCTATTCTTGGTTAAAAAAAAACTAAATTATCTTCTATCTTAAAATTTTTCAATTTATTTTAAAACAAAATTATTCATTTGATATATTTTTTCTCCATACTTTTGCAATGAAAAGTAAAGGTAGTATTTAAGATCTGAGAGTTAATGGAATGCAAATATAGTAATACATTTGAGGCAACATTCAAATAGTTTTTGCTGGAAACTTTTTTGAAAGAACCGGTAAGCTACCAGCTACCTCTGACTTGTTTGTGACAGGTATAAATACTCAATATTTAAACTATTGAGGCTGAAATGTCATACTGGTAGCCAGTTATCATTTTATTAACTGTAATAATTTTGAAATGATGGCCAGGTTTGTTAAACCAAATCAAAACATTTCCATTTCAGTATGTGCATCCAGGAGATTAGTCATTATATCCTTTCTTTCAGTCATGTATCCGTTCATTACACAGTTGAAATATTGATTCATTCTCTTGTATGCTAAGCAATGAGCTATACATGAGGAATCCGAGAACAACACAGTTTGTCCTCAAGAGTACAGGTTTAATAAAAGGCAATTAGAATAGAAAAAAGTGCTTTAACAAAAATATAATCCATGATACTATGAGATCTGAAAGATGGGCATTCAAGTCTAACAGAGCTTAAAGGAAAAAGTAAAATTTAAGGAAAAAAAAAAAAAGCAAAAGTACGAAAGATGGGCATCAATCCTTCCAAGTCTTCAAATCAATGCCACCAAAGGAAGTGTGCTTCTTTTTTTTTTTTTTTTTTGGTGGGAAGGTGCAGGGTCTCACTATATTGCCCAGCTGGTCTCAAACTCCTGGCCTCAAGTATCTGCCAGCCTTGACCTCCTAAAGTGCTGCAATTACAGATGGAAGTGATATTTCAGCTGATAAGGGTTAAAAAAAAGGTAACCAATGGGGAGGTGAGAGTGATAGGACATTTCAGTTACAGAAACCGGCATGTTCAAATGCCAAGAAGTGCTGGAGAACATGATGAACCTGATAATCACAAGTAATGTGGTTCTGCTGAGAGGAAGTATGTCAAGTCTCCTGCAGTCATGGAAAGAGACTCTCTTAGAATGACAATTCCTTTAGAACAAGAAGGTGTTATGCATATTTTTATGTGTCTGGCATTCAATAAATGTTTGTTAGGTAAACAAAATTCCATTCATTTCTAATTTTCTCATGGTTTCTAGTAAAAGACAAACACTCATCTTCAAAATGTTATGAGAGTTGGGAGATGAGTGGTACAAAAAATTGACTGAAATAATAAATTTCACGGTTTCTCTATCATCCATCTTGAAATAATCTCTCTGTCATGGTGTGCTCAAGATGCTTTGCTTTTCAACACCTCAAAAAATCTTTGGTTGGCTGGGCATAGTGGCGCATACTTTTAATTCCAGCACTTCGGGAGGCTGAGGCAGGTGGATTGTTTGAGCTCAGGGGTTTGCGACAAGCCTCGGCAACATGGTGAAACCCCATCTCTACCAAAAATACAAAAATTAGCCAGTCTTATAACCTGGTCTCAAAAAAAAAAAAAAAAAAAAAACAAACCAAAAAACAAAGATAAAAACTTTTTTAAATCATTGGTTCTGATTCTGGTAAATAAACTGTGCATTCAACTTTCAAATCATGTCCATCAACCAAGTTACCAAGCACACATGCTCTCAGCAAGAAATATGCCTTTTGTAGGGAAGATGTATCCCAGTCCAAATTACTAAATATTTAAAATTATGAGTCTAACCTAATATAGGTTAATTCTAATTCAGAAAAACAAAAATTCCTTGAGGACAAGGGTCATATAATTTATCTTTATATTCTCCAAACCTGGCATATTATGTATCACATATTAGTTGAACTCAAAGGAAATTTATAATGTTTAAAGAAAATTTTTGTCTAAATTACTTGTTGCCAACATTTGCAACCTACTTTGTTGAAATCACCAACATTTTCCAGACTTCCTAACCTTTTAGATTTTAGCTTTTTGGCAATTATTTTATTTTAACAATGAAATTAAACATTATATAGAAGCATTAAATCTTCTAATATATTTTAATGATTTAGAGAATAAGAAAATATCTCATGATTAACACTGGAAAAATAATGATAACTGGCTAATTATCATCCAAAAATTTGTTTTCATTATTACTTTGGTTATTCTGCAGAGCTTAAGCAAACTGTATTAACTTAAAAAAAAAAAAAGAAAATATTTGTAAAATATATGATCTAGCTGTACGCCTCTCAGATTTTACTAACTGGAAACATTTTAAAATATAATCAGTAAAATGATATGCTAACTACTTTAATACAACTATGGGCCGAACAAGGTGGCTCACGCCTGAGGCAGGAGGATCACTTGAGGGCAGAAGTTCCGAGACCAGCCTGGGTAACATAGTGAGACCCCCATCTCTAAAAGAAAGTTTTAAAAATTAGCCAGACACGGCCAGGCATGGTGGCTCATGCCCTAATCCCAGCACTCTGGGTGGCTGAGGCAGGCAGATCACCTGAGGTAAGATTTCGAGACCAGCCTGGCTAACATGGCGAAACTCCATCTTTACGAAAAATATGAAAATTAGCAGGCTGTGGTAGCGAGCACCTATTATCCCAGCTACTCAGGAGGCTGAGGCAGGAGAATCACTTGAACCTGGGAGGCGGAGGTTGCAGTGAGCCAAGACTGGGCCACTGCACTCCAGCCTGGGCCACAGAGCGAGACTCTGTCTCAGGGGAAAAAAAAAAAATTAGCCAGATGTGATGGTGTGAGCCTGTAGTCCTAGCTACTCAGGAAGAGGAGGCAGAAGGATCTTTTTAGCCCAAAAGCTTGAGACTGCAGCGAGCTAAGATCATGCCACTGCACACCAGCCTAGGCAACAGAGCAACACCCTCTTAAAAAGGAAAAAAAAAAAGCATTTAACTATGATCTTTAATTTGCCAACACTGTCACTCCTGCATGTTATACTCCTTATACACCAGTTAATTTTCCCTTAACAGTTTCTTAGACCTAAGTCTCTCCCCACTACTTATGAAGTTGAAATCAAAACATTTAAAGATCTGCTCCCTTTCTGGGAGCTCTATCTTACCAAGACAGTCTACTTCCTTCCTGGGTGTGGCAAATATCTAATAAAGCTAGGCTGAGCTGCAATTAGATAAATCAGTCACGATCACCTAGTACAATTTAAGACTAAAAATTTCTATGGTTAAATTAATCTATCCCCCATTTTAAATGAAAATACAGAATTTTATTATTTTTAAACTTTTATTCTAGATTGGGGGGGTACATGTGCAGGTTTGTTATATAGGTAAATTCATGTCACAGGGGTTTGGTGTACAGATTATTTCATTACTCAGGTACTAAAAAAAGTACCTGATGGGTATTTTTTCTGATCCTCTCCCTCCTCCCACCCTCTACCCTCAAGGAGGCCCCTATGTCTGTTGTTCCCCTCTTTGTGTCCCTGTGTTCTCGTCATAAGTGAGAACATTCAGTATTTGGTTTTCTGTTCCTGTGTTCGCTAAAGGTAATGGTCTCCAGCCCCATCCATGTTGCTGCAAAGGACATTATCTCAATCTTTTTTTCATGGCTGCATAGTGTTCCATGGTGCATATGTACCACATTTTCTTTATCCACCCTAGTATTGATGGGCATTTAGGTTTTTCCATGGTTTTGCTATTATGGAATAATGCTGCTGCAAACATACACGTGTGTGTCTTATGGTAGCACAATTTATATTCCTTGGGGTATATACCCAATAATGGGATTGCTGGATTGAATGGTAATTCTGTTTTTACTTCTCTGAGGAATTGACACAATGCTTTCCACAATGGCTGAACTAATTTACATTTCCACTAGTAGTGTATAAGTGGTCCTTTTTCACCACAACCTCACCAGCATCTTATTTTTTAATAATAGCCACAGAATTTTACAATCAATTAAAAAAAAACCCTTGATAAAATCTTACTGTGACAAACACTTCTAAAATTACATTTCTTAGCTGCCATTAAGAAAATGTGCATAGGGCTGGGTGTGGTGGCTCACGCCTACCATCCCAGCACTTTGGGAGGCCAAGGCAGGAGGATTGCATGAGCTCAGTTATTTGAGACCAGCCTGGGCAATAGCGCAAAACTATACAAAAAATGCAAAAATTTGGAGACTCACTCTAAAAAAAAAGGTGCATTATGACTTATAAAATGCTAAATATATTCACAATTCTCACACATATACCAGTAACTTACGAGAAGCTCCCCATGCAGTCTCTCTCCATTCATCATCCCCAAGAAATATGCCTTTTTGTCCATCTTTTGTTGAATCATCAGGTTCCCAAAACTTTTTGGTAGGCAAAAGCTATTTGGAGGAAAAATTACAGTTAAATTTTATTCTAATTACAAAGAATTAATATATAAGAAGTCTCAAACATATCACTGCTATGTATACATTAGTTTTCAATGCTAATGAAAATTCAGAGTGACCTATTTTCTAAGCTGTTTTGTTAATAGTAAATTAACTCCCCATTTATTTTTGTGTGCTGGTGCTAGTAATTCTAGACCTTAAACAAAAATCAAAATCTACTTCTGACTTTTCTTCACTTTTCATACATTTTTATTACAATGTAAATTTATTCAAAAGGCTTATTAAATTCCTTACTCAGTAACAGATTTAATAAGCACATCCATAGGAATGACTGAACTTTTCCCTTCACTTCCAAGTCCTCTCCCTAGACCACCTCCTATCATATCTTCTAGAATAGAAAATACTTTTTCATTTTTAACTCAGTTATTCAATGGAAGTGAAATTCACACCTCTTACTAGCTGCTGAGTACTATCTGTCAAACCCATAACAAAAAGCTATGGATGGTAGAAAACATGCATAGAAAAGAAACAATCTCAAGGCCCTGTGCTCTATCCTATACTGTGACATGCATAGCACATAAAAATTGTGTTGATACAATCATTCACTGATTACTCAAAATGAACATTTTGGACAATTCTTATTCTTTAATATTCATTCATATCTCCCTACTGTCCCTGTCGCTTAGGAGGTGGCCAACTTGGATATGTTTGTTTGAGAAGAACAGACTGGTTTTCTGAGAAGTGAACTTAGCATTTTAAAGAAGCATTCATAAGACACCATCACTCTCAACTCTTAAGTAGGTGTCCAGTCTTTTCAGTGCTAACAATAAAACCTGTGTATACTTCTATTAAACTTATCACACTCAATTACCTATATGTTTACCTCTTAAGGGCATGGTCTGCTCACCTTTAGAGAGCTCACAAACATATAAACTATAATAAATATAACTCAGTAATACCTGAAATTGGTCTGAGATAAGATGTGTGTGTTTGTGTGTGTGACATAGTAAACCATTAATAAACGCAAAACTTGAGAAAATGCAGTGTGTAGAATAGGGTGTAAGATGAAACATGTGGGAAGGTCAAAAGTTCATGCTAGCAAAGCTAACAGATGCTGGCAGATCAGATTATGAAGACCCTTAAAGACATGCTAAGGAAGTTAGATGCTCTACTGAAGCAACAGGGAATAGAGAAGAGTTAGCAAGGGTGACACTATGTACTACAAAAAACTCAAGTTGTAAGTTTTAAGAATAACAAATAGAAAGAACAAGGAGATGAATTTTGGCAATTTACAATAAGAGGGCCAAGAGAGCAAGAACTAAAAGAGGGTACTGGGCCAGGAGAGGTGGCTCACACCTGTAATCCCAGCACTTTGGGAGGCCTAGACAGGTGGATCACGAGGTCAGGAGTTCAAGACCAGCCTGGCCAAGACGGTGAAACCTTGTCTCTACTAAAAATACAAAAATTAGCCAGGCGTGGTTGCCAGTGCCTGTAATCCCAGCTACCTGGGAGGCTGAGGCAGAGAAATGCTTGAACCCAGGAGGTGGAGGTTGCGCCACTGCACTCCAGCCTGGGTGACAGAGTGAGACTGTCTCAAAAAACAAAAAACAAACAAACAAAAAAGAGGGTACTAGCAGAGAAAGCTGAGAAAATAAAATGGATCTGAGACACCTTGGAGTCAAAAGGATCTGAATACAAATGGTGGGGAAGATAACTAAAAAGAATAACCTGTTTAATAACTTAAACAGCTAAAAAGGTAAATGGTACTGCTATTGACCACAATAGGAAAACAACAACAAACCAGGAGAGGCAGCTTTAAAGGGAAGAGAAGAAATTCAATTTGAGCATGTTCCTGAATTACATATATTTTGCTAAACTAAATGTTTTAATTAAAAAATGTTAATTAAAATGTTTAAATGTTTTAATTAAAAAAAAAACTCCATTTTTTTAAAAAAAGTTTTTAAATGCTAGGATGGCCCTGGGCTGTAAATGACTGGTATTTATAAAGAGCAGACATTTTAAACAATAATCTGCTCTAACAAAGATCCCAGTAAGTAAACTATAACTTGTATTCCTTCTATTTTAAAAATCTCATCATAAAAGATTCACGTAAATATTCAACAAAACATAAATCTAGTAATATGAATACTAAAGCATACTTGATATATTTAAATAATAGAACATTCACAGTTAAAACCCAAGTTAATCCCTTAAAAATACTGTATAAGCCATTCCAAGCAGATGAAAATAATTCCTTAAAGAATAAAGCAATGCTTTTATCCCATACTTCATGAAGAAAAAAGTCTCAGTATCAAAATAATAACAAATAAGTAATCTAAAGTTGTAATAACTAATAAAGCATTTATCACAGACAAAGAAGTGGCTAAAATAGACTAATCTTATGAGGTAGTAAAAGTAATAGCACCCCTTTGAGACTATTCTGAAGTCTTTTGGGATTAAAGTTCCGGGAGTGCCTTCAAAATGCTTTAAAATGCAAATTGCAGCACACACCTGTAGTCCCAGCTACTCAGGAGGCTGGGCAAGAAAATTGCTTGAATCTGGGAGGCCGAGGTTGCAGTGAGCCGAGATCGTGCCACTGCACTCCAGCCTGGCGACAGAGCGAGACTCTGTCTCAAAAAAAGAAAAAAGAAAAAGAAAAAACGCAAATTGTTTACCTGGGCTGGGAAGCGGGGGGGAGGGGAGTCTGTAAACCACTTACCAAGTGTGTCTACTATGGCCAAGCACTATACTATGAGTACCTTCATTTTCGAACATTTAGAAGTTTTTATGCACAGGAAAATTTAATAGTTGAAATTAACACTCTACCAAAGGCCTTCACTGATATTCTAAAAACTATTTGCTCTGACAGTTTAGATACTGACTCAAATACTTTTAGGGGATCTACTAGCTGGTGACTAATAATAGGTTAAAGTGAACTAAATGTAGGGGAAGGCAACAATTCAGGATAGAACACAGTTAAAGAGGAAAAAAAAAGGTTAAACAATGCATTGATTAGAACAGCAATAAAAATAGGAGATTTGCCCCTGGAGAATCTTTTACTGTAGTAGAAAGAGCAACCATACAACATTACAGAAAACAAAATTAAGAAACCGTTAAGATCTATAAAATATGTTATCCAATACCACTTCATATTAGTTCCCTACTTCACAAACTCTAAAAGAAGGTCAGGCAACTCAGTGTTTCTTATCAATCTGCTCTTCTATCCTAACTCCAGTGTTTGAGGGAATATACAGTGTCTTTTCCTTCAAATGTATGGCTTGCTTTCCCCATTTCCAAAGAAACCTATCAGCACCCAGGCATGCTGCATCAAAAAAAAAAATAAAATAAACTCCCACTCAGGCATTTACATGAGTATACCTATACTTCAGACTTTTTAAATTGTTATGGAAAACCCCTAAACCAACCAAATAAACATAATCCCAAGACTTAAAAGGATTTAAAATGTAAATTGTTTTAAATTATTTATATAATTTATCATCCCAAATGGGATACTTTAGTGAAAAAAGATGCTATTAATAATCATGCCATGAGAAGATATAGATCTGAGCTGTCCTGGGCAAATCAGAATGTAAAGTCACTCTACTTATAATGGAAGTTCAAAAGAGGTAAGAACAGATCCTCAAAACTAAGTTGTAACAGGGAGCAGAGACTCATGCCTGTAATCCCAGCACTGAGGGAGGTGAGAAGATAGTTTGAGCCCAGGAGCTAGAGACCAGCCTGGCCAACACTGTGAGACCCTGTCTCTTTTAAAAAATAAAATAATTATAAATAAATAAATATAAAATAAATTAGCCGGGTGTGGTGGCATGCACCTCTAGTCCCAGCTATTTAGGAGGCTGAGATGGGAGGATGGAATGAGCCTGGGAGGTCAAGGCTGCAGCGAGCTATAATTAGCTGAGGCAGGCAGACTGCTTGAGCTCAGGAGTTGAAGACCAGCCTGGGCAACATGGCGAAACAATGTCTCTACAAAAAATATAAAAATTAGCCAGGCGTGGTGGCGTGCACCTGCAGTCCCAGACACTGGGGAGGCTGATGTGGGAGGATCACTTTAGGCCAAGGGTCAGAGGTTGCAGTAAGTTGAGACAATGCCACTGCACTCCAGCTTGGGCCACAGAGCAAGATCCTGCCTCCAAAACAAAAAACAAAAAACAAACAAAACAAACAACAACAACAACAAATGAAACATAGAGAACAAAACACAAAGTAACTCCACAGAACACAAAAATGGTGCTTTTCCAGACTTTAATCTTTTCTGTTAATGAAAGATATTAACACTTTCATTTTCTCAAATCCTTG
Organism: Homo sapiens; assembly: GCF_000001405.40. Taxonomy (NCBI): domain Eukaryota; kingdom Metazoa; phylum Chordata; class Mammalia; order Primates; family Hominidae; genus Homo; species Homo sapiens. The sequence goes on from NC_000002.12 coordinate 20,322,969, forward strand.
GTATCAACAGCAAACATTACTAAATGTCATCACTTCCAACAGGAAGTAGTACTGTACAGAAGTAGTACTGTAAACACTCAAGACTTCCCTGGGTTCAAACTGCTCTTCAAGTACTATTATGTGGCCTTGGACTAGTTTTAATTAACCTTTTCTGCGCTTCAGTTTCCTCATCTATAAACTGCACGGAATTACATCTAGGGCCAGGTGCGGTGGCTCACGTCTGTAATCCTAGCACTTTGGGAGGCCGAAGTGGGCGGACCACGAGGTCAGGAAATTGAGATCATCCTGGCTAACACTGTGAAACTCTGTCTCTACTAAAAATACAAAAAATTAGCCAGGCGTAGTGGCACACGCCTGCGGTCCCAGCTACTCGGGAGGCTGAGGCAGGAGAATAACTCGAACCTGGGAGGTGGAGATTGCAGTGAGCCAAGATTGCGCCACTGCACTCCAGCCTAGGCGACAGAGCGAGACTCCATCTCAAAAAAAAAAAAAAAAAAGAATGGCATATAGTACACAGCAGACACATAAATATTAGGTATCTTCACTACCAACAGTATGAATCCTTTACTGTTATCAAACATGACTTAACTTACTGACCCACAACATTCAACTGATTTCAAATATTATATTATTCACTTTAACGATTTTGTCCATAGCTGTTTGACTTCTCTTGAGTCAGTTTGACTATCCTAGCGGGATGATGAAAACCCACTACTTAGGAAGAACAGTTTACTACTACAGTCACATTCTGCATAAGGAAAACTGACCAAGGTTACACATAAGCTGGTAAATGTTAACAAGGGGATCTGAACCCATATCTACTTAATTCTAAGACCCTTCTCTTCACATTTAACTACCATAAAAGAGTTCTTTTCAATCATATTTTAATTCATCATGATTTCTGAAAATTTTGAGTATTATTCTAGAGATACGGACTAGCAAAAAAAAAAAAAAAAAAAAAAAAAAAAAATCCAGTATCAGATCACCACTGGGAATAAGGAAAAAATAAAAATGCTTAAAATATTATCATGATAGTCTTCCTATTACAGTGGGTAAAGTTTAAGATAGAATTAAGATAGAGATTATCTAGACAAACTATGACCAGCTATTTAAACACTATTTGAAATGGCTGGTTTCCATTCCAGTTATCCCTAAGAGCTTATATTAAAGCAAGAGCATTTCAGAGATACATGTGATTCATACAAAAGGTTATTCTTATTATTATTTTTAAAGTCAGTCAGTCTTACTCAAGGTCATAACACTAGGGAGAGATCTAGGAGAAAACACAAGTCTCCTTCCTCCCCTACCTAGTAAGTCTTCCACTTCACCACACTACATAGAATCTTAGTACACAGGCTTTCTTTAATGCTTTCTTTATATATTATTGTGTTGGAAAGACAGGAGAGAGCACTGCTTATCATACTAAGCTATAAAGATATTCTCAAAATAAAAGATATTAATTCAGTGATTTAAAGTTAGATTCTGGATTTTCTGAAGAATTTCAGACAGGGCCCTCTTTCCTGTTATTTAAAAAATAAGCAGAAACCCAGCTATATGTGCCCCAACAACCTAGAGAAGCTAATAGGTATGAGCCTATGCAGTGTGTCTGACTTAACACTACACTAATAAAGCAGAGTTCAATCTCCTATAGATTAGTTTTGCTCTTTTTAAGCCACATGACATAATGCAAATCAGTAGGTCTTTCGACAGAAACATGCTATCAGTGTAAAAACAGAGAGGGTAAGTTTATGAATAGGTGAATACAAATCTCTTATTTGTGGATGCCTTCTGATGATGGCTCAGTAAAGACATCATGATCTACAAAACACAGTAAATTTGAAATTAGTCCTACATGTAGATGTAACACTTTGTACATTAGAGATTTACAACACTTAAGACAACAGTAAGCAAAAACTATTTTTAAAGAAAGTCAAGACAAGGGTAATCTATTTTAAAAACCGTTTTGCATTAAAAAAAAAAAAAAGCATTTTTAGAAAACTTAAGAGCCAGAAACTCAAGGCTGCTTTTAATTTATTCCAATGAATGAATTCTGGGATATAACAAAAACAAAAAAACCTCACCTGTCAGGAAAGGAGGAGAAGACTGGTGAGAGAGAGAGGCAAAGAAGGAAATCCCAGAAGGTTCCTTGCTGCCTGTGAGATGAGGAAAGATAGAAAGGCTTGTGGGAGAGAGAACCCAGAGACAGAAATCTCAGTAGGTTTTTCTTAGCTATCTTTTTGAGGTGACAGTGTTAGTGCTTAAACTGTTAAGAAATAAACTAATGAGAGCATCTTAAAATATATTTTTACTGGATGAAGGTTACAGATACACTGACATGCTGCTATCCACCAGGTAGCAGGAAACCGTGGTCACTTTTACTCTCCATATCTGACATGTCCAATAAGGAAGTCTGGATTTAAGCTTTTTTCTTTTAACATACCATTCAACCCAGCTACTCTTTCCCCCAAATAACTAAACCCTTTCAACCACTGTTTCAGATCATGACATTTTTTTGATCTGCAAAGATAACTTTAAAATTATTAAATATTATTTAGAAAGAGTGAAAAAACACCAGTTTGAAAACATATATACAATATACATCTAAGAAGTGATAAAGGGAGTCTAAAATTAATGTAGGAGTATGACTCTCTTGTTCTTTTTTTTTTTTTTTGAGACGGAGTCTCGGTTTGTCCCCCAGGCCAGAGAGCAGTGGTGCAATCTCGGCTCACTGCAAGCTCCGCCTCCCGGGTTCACGCCATTCTCCTGCCTCAGCCTCCCGAGTAGCTGGGACTACAGGCGCCTGCCGCCACGCCCGGCTAATTTTTTGTATTTTTAGTAGAGACGGGGTTTCACCGTATTAGCCAGGATGGTCTCTATCTCCTGACCTTGTGATCCGCCCACCTTGGACTCCCAAAGTGCTGGGATTACAGGTGTGAGCCACTGTGCCCAGCCTGACTCTCTTGCTCTTAAAGAATTATCAGCAAGTTCAAGTTTGTCATAGACAAGAAGGTTGAAGCACTGTTCAACCCTGCTTTTAATATATGTTATTCTGCTTTTTAAAGAGCAAAGAAAAGTAGTGGCCAGGAAAGAACAAAAGCCCTTTTCATCTGCCTCTTATTTGCCAATAGCATAAATAATGCCTAACCAGATATTGCACTGCAGTGAAGCTACAGATTTTGTTTACAAAAAAAATTCAATTTCTTCAATTTTTCTTAGGGTTGAGAATTTTACCTTATGCACTGGTCTAACAAATTTATTTTGGCAATACTTAAGCTTAAGCACCTTAACTCACCCTTAAATCAGTCCTCTGAAAATGACATACTCTTTGGAAAACGCTGTTCTGAAGAAGGGGAGGGTTAGCTAGCTGCAGGGTGCCCTCTTGTGGCCCAAAGGAGAGACTTGGACTCTTTTCTGCATCTGAAGAGCACAGCATTGGATGGAGTGAGTCTCATGAAGGTCTCTATTCTACCAAGGTAAAATAATCTCCAGGAGCAAGCAGTTAATTACACATCTTAGGTCTGTTCACTGTTATCTTCTATTATCAAAGTCTACGTTAGTAGTACAGAACATGACAAAATACAGATGTCACCACAAGAGTTTCCATAATCAAAGTTCTCTAAGTATTCATTAGCTATATGAAAAATGAAGTATTTGATGCCTTAAAATATATAATGATGAGGTTAACTTTGGTGCTCCAAAGAAAATCATAGATTAACGAGAATGATAAAATCCATTAAGAAATGCGAAGTGCCTACTATGCTAGGCATTCAAAGCTAATAATTTACAGGGGAGACAAGTGTAAAACAAACTAACCAGCAATATAATAAAAGTCTGTATGAAGAACTAGAAGCCAGATGAAGGGCTTAATTCTATGGCAGATAGCAACTAGACAATAGATACATCCCAGTCGAGTCTTGTAGAAGATTAGAAGTTTGTTAAGTAAACAGTTTTGGGTGAACAAGAGATTTTTGGAAGGGAGAATAGTAAAACAAGTATGGCTAAAGCAAACACAGCATACATATATAAAACAGCAGAACAAGGCTAAAGAGTTTTTTTCAAGCAAAGCTAATTATAGTTCATTACCAAAATATAAGAAATTATCTCACCAAGTCAATCAAATCACCTAGACACAAATAATCACACTAAAAATTACTGCTAAAAGCTTTTTTTTTAAAGCTAAAAATCACAACAGAATTGTACAATCTGAAATTTAAACCCCTCCATATAGTTTGGAAGATATGACCACTATTTCCAGGAAGGGAGATGGTTAAAAAAAAAAAATAAGTTACAATGGCTCAAAATAAAGTGAGGTGTAAGTTCTTAGTATTTGCAAACATTTACCTCTCCCATTCCCCGAGATTCTAATGCAAGAGCTTGAAAATCATGATTCATTTCATCCACAGATCAAACCTGTTGAATAACAAAAACAAAAATTAGTACAAAGAAATGTTTAAACAGACTTCTTCAACTATTTTTATATTATATTGCTGCTATGACTAATATTAGCATGATCTGAGAAAGGGAAGCACTGATTTCTGTAGGGAAGACAGGTTTTCCCAGTTTATGACAGCAATCTACCTTAAAACCTGTAGAAAAACATTAGGTCAAGGGTTCTTGAATTATTCTGTGTGCCAACAACTATGTGAAGGCAATGAAAAACAATTAAAGCCCAGAAACTGGAGAACAGTCTATACTTTAAAGAAAGGAGTAGCACAGAGTAAGGTTTTTTGTTTGGTTGTTTGTTTTTTTTAAATGGCATTTCTGCCCGAGGGAAGGCCTAGATGTGGAAGTAGGGTCCTTAAATTCCTTTAAGAATCCAGCCTTAATGGCCTGAAGAAACCAAAGGACACAGTCTAGAGCAACCAGAGCTGCTGGAAAGTAAGAAAGGGAATCCCAGAGAGGACACGCCATGTCCCGTGTATAAATTACACTGGGATTTTCAGATGACGCCTGAACTGCACATATGTGAGACAGACTCCAAGGAGCTCAATTAAGGCTAAAAGAATTGAGCAGAAATTTCTGCTGCTGACCACCACAAAAGTCACAGAAATTTGGAGGCTGAGTCCCAACAAAACCCAACATTTGGCTAGGTGTGGTGGCTCACGACTATAATCTCAGCACTTTGGGAGACCGAGGTGGGTGATCACTTGAGGTCAAGAGTTTGAGACCAGCCTGGCCAACATGGTGAAACCCCGTCTCTACCAAAAATACAAAAAAATTAGCTGGGTGCGGTGGCACGCGTTTGTAGTCCCAGCTATTCGGGTGGCAGAAGAATTGCTTGAATCTGGGAGACAGAGGTTACAATGAGCCAAAATCGTGCCATTGCACTCCAGCCTGGGCATCGCAGAGAGACTCTGTCTCAAAACAAACAAACAAAAAAAACACAAACACACAACCTCCACATTCGCCAAAGAAACAACAGAATCTAGAGCATCTTCAATACATCAATCATGAAGTCTGGAATATAATCTGTAATTACTAGACAGGTGAGAAAAAAGGAAAATGTGACCTAAAGGAAAAAGTCAATTAATAACCACTCCAAGACGACCCAGGTTAGAATTAGCAGACAGCAATCCTAAAGCAACTACCATAGCTGTGTTCAAAGATTTAAAGAAAAATATGCTCCTAAGGAATGAACAAATGCAAAATTTCAGCAGAGAAAGAAAAACTACAAAAATAACCAATGCTAAAACTGAAAAAAATATTTAAAAATTACACTGGATGCACTTAGCAGATTATAAAACAACAAAAGAAAGGGTCAGTGAACTTGAAAATATATCAACAAGATTTCTAATTTGAAGAATAGGAAAATAGTGGAAAAAAAATGAACAGAGCTTCAGTGACCTATAAAATGTCAAAGCCAAATAAAACAAAGATGACTCTCTAAATTGAAAATGTTGTATTTAGGAAGCAAGAATCTAATTTGGGTGCGGTGGCTCATGCCTATAATCCCAGCACTTTGGGAAGCCGAGGCAGGTGGATTACTTGAGCCCAGGAATTGAGACCAGCCTGGGCAACATGGCGACACTCGATTTTTACAAGAAATTTAAAAATTAGCTTGGCACATTGGTGCATGCCTGTGGTCCCAGCAACTCAGGAGGCTGAGGTGGGAATATCACTTGAGCCTGGAAGGTCAAGGCTACAGCAGTAAACCATGATTGTGCCATTGCACTCCAGCCTGGGCGACAGAGCAAGACCCTGTCTCCAAAAAAAAAAAAAAAAAAGATAAGATCTAATGTTCTCCATATGGTCCTATTTGGTCATAGGATGACCAACATGGTAAAAACAATGTCTCTACAAAAAGAATACAAAAATTAGCCTGTTTCGGTAGGGCATGCCTATAGCCACAGCTACTCGGGAGGCTGAGGTGGGAGGATCACTTGAGCCCAGGAAGTGAAGGCTACAATGAGCCATGAGCGTACCACTGCACTCCAGCCTGGGTAATAGAACGAGAGCCCCCTCATCTCAAAAAAAAAAAAAAAAGAAAAGACAAAGAAAAAGAAAGGAAAATAATGTAATTTGGAGCATATATATACAGACTGGACGGTCTTGGGTATGTCTGAAGAACAAAGAGAAGGCTGGAAGTTATTAGAGAAACGTTACAGACTGTTCTGACAGATTGGTACTAGAGCAGCTTTTGAGAAATGGCAAGCTCTGACTAGAAGAAGCTGGTCTCAGAGCAGTGGCGAGTTGTTTCCACTGCTACTAGGTAAAACGGGTCTTAGGGTTACAGCGGGCCATTTCTACAGCTGGGCTTGCTGAAAATTTAATTTTTGGATCAGATGTTAAGTGCTCAAGTGCCTTTTTCCCCTGGACCCTAGATTCTGATTTAGTTGGGTGTTACAAGAATGACCTAATGTGTATAATTTTCACAGGAACAATACCAAAAAGTGTAACTTACATGTAACTGGAGTTCCAGGAATGAACAGGATGGTAAAAATATTGAAGAAACAATGGCCAGAAATTCCCCCAAATTTAGTGAGAGTCAAATCTACAGATTCAAGAAGCCCCATGGACACCAGAGGAAAGATAAATAAGAAAAAAAAAATTCCACACTTACAGTCATTATAAAAACCCTGAAAATCAAAGAGAAAAAGTCCTGAAGATTGCCAGAAAAAAAAACAACATATTACATAAAGAGGAACAATGATGTATGAATGACTGCTAACTTGGACCAGAAATAATGGGGCCCAGAACATACAGGACAAGATTTTAAAGTGCTGAAAGGAGTGCCAATCCAGACTTTTACACCTGCGGAAAATATCACCTTAGAATAAAGGCTGAAAATGTAATACTGTAAAACGTATTTTTGGCCTTTGTCCATGTCCTGGCAAAAAGCTCCTAAAACCCCTGGAATCACTGGAGTGATGAGTGTCTTCTGCATGCTAATGAGCTGACTGACTGGGGGCTGGTTGCCAGGGGAACCATCCTTTTGATTAGAGAGTTTGAACTTTCAGTTCCCCCTCCTGCTTCCAGAGATGGACTGAAAACTTAGTTGATCACGAAGATTTTAATGCCTATGTAATGAGGTGAGACTTCTGCAAAATTCCAAAAGATCTGAGTTCTGGGAGCTTACAGATAGCTGAACTCTTGGAGGTTCCTGGAGAGTGGCCTGCCCCATTCTCCCATACATCATCCTAATGCATCTCTTCCATCTGGCTATTCTCAACGGTATTCTTTGTAATATCCTTTATAATAAATGGGTAAATTTAAGTAATGTGCTTCCCTGAGTTCTGTGAACTGTTCTAGCAAATTAATTGACCAAAGAAGGTCAGAGGAACACCTGATTTACAGCTGGTCAGTGAGAAGTCTATGTGACAACCTACGACTTGCAACTGGCATCTGAAGTAGGGAGGAAGTCTTATTGGCCCAAGCCCTCAATCTGTGTGTGAGAGCTGATGCTCTCTCCAGGGAGATAGGGTCAGAAATGAGTTAGACGACGCCCAGCTGGTGTCCACTGGAGAATTTGCTGCAGGACTGATTGCTTGATACAGCATATCAAGCAATACATGTGGGATCATAGAAGTGTTCTGTGTTGTAAGGGTACAGTAGGATAAACTGTATTTATATCCTATAGCCTTACATTTGGTGTCAGAAGTGGGATTTGCTAACACAGCCCTGGCACACAGAAACGTGGTTTGGTTCAGACAACTTGGGGAGAGGAAAAAAAAAAAACCACACGCGTTGTTTGGGAATAGAAAGAATGAAAGGGTAGGGGATGAGAAATGGGAATAGAAGGAACGAAAGGGTAGGGGATGAGAAACTTTTGATTCCTTGGTGGCCATGTGGTCACTCACTGTATGTGCTCAGTTACTAAACGTTACCAATGGAATTTAAAGATGGACCTAACTCTCACAAAGTAAATGTCTAAGAAAATGCAAACTAATTTTAAGGAGAAATATTCAATCCCTTGGTTACTGTTATCCTAATAGCTAAAATAAAGTGCTAGGTCAGACCTTAATACAAGACCAACCTCAGATTTCAGTGACTGAGCTTCGGCCAGTAGCCTTAAAGCTGTCCTCCCAAGAGAAAAATTATGCAGAGACAAGATTAAGTACTTCTAATCTATGAGCCATGGTTACCAAGAAGGTAGTCAATGTGGGGAAAGGGCAAACCCAATAAACTGTTAAAACCAGTATCGAAAGCAGAAAAAAAAAAAAAAGAAAGAAAGAAAAGAAAAGGAAAAAAAAACTATCAGTAGTAGACATGAATTTTTCTCAAGAGTCAAAGTAAGCACTAGAGCTTTACCTTTTTTGCTTACTTTCAGGTTTTTATCAGTGGTCCAAATAGATGAGGTCACATAAGTTAAAGAACCTCTGGATAATTTTGAGAGGTCTCTTAGCTCTTTGAATCCATTCTTACTGTTGGGATAAATCATACCCCTAGTGTAGGAGTCAACATTTTAGGCTTTGCAGGCCATATGATCTCTGCTGCAGCTACTCAACTACGCCTCTGTAGCACGAAAGCACCTATAGACAATACCAAAATGAATGAGCACAGATATGTCCCAATAAAACTTGATAAACTGTAAAATTTGAGTTTCACGTGGTTTTCATGTATCACAAATTATTCTTTTAAAATTTTTTCCAACAATCAAAAAATGTAAAAGCCATTCCCATAGAGCAGGCCATGCAAAAACAGGTGATGGGTCAGATTTGGCCTGCAGGCCATAGTTTGCAGACCTCTGCTCTCATTCACTTTCTCTCTTGACTGCTCCCCAAAACTCAAATACACAAAATCCACTTCCAAATATGAGTATACTGAAAGTTAAGCATTAGGGCTTTGCTTTCAACTTTTTCACTTATACTACTAGAGTGTGTGTGTGTGTGTGTGTGTGTGTGTGTGTGTGTGTGTTTAAACGAATGGGGGTTTCAGATCATATCTAAATGGAGGTAATTTTATTATCTTTCAATAATCAGGGTAGTAGAGTAAAAAGACTTAAAAAAAAAAAAAACCCACCCCCATCAGCACAACTTAAGCTCAGCTTTTCAGTTTAGGGTGTTACTGTTTATTTCAATTACGAGAAAGAGAATGAAGGAGAAATTGGGCAAGACAATGGGAGACAAATAACTTTTCCAACTCTCAGGCAATACCATATCCATATAAACTATAATAAAGTTGAAGAGATGGGGAGACAGTTGCCCATATGCTACTAAGTGGGACTCCAAAATTTCTAAAGTATGTCAATCTGCTGTCTCTTAAACAGCTACAAATGCTGGTGTCATCTGATGGTAATAAAAAAGTTGGAATTTGGACATAAATTTAGTGACTTTATCCGAATGATTAAATCTTAGGGAGGAAAGATCTTTTCTAACAAGCAATAGGACCTACTAGCAACTGGTTATATACTATTTCACTGTTTATTTGAAAAAAATGTATTCAGGAGTATGGCACCATGTACTGCTTGGGGTATAAATTCTATCTTCAATTTTTTTTGTCTGCATTATTAAGGCTCAAATCTCCAATATTATTTTCTTTAATAAATAATGAGAACTTACCAACACAGAAATATACGACAGAAACTTTTCTTTGGCCAAGACCCAGTATAATCTTATATTTGAATTAAAAAGTCATTTTTGAGGTTATGACTGTTTCCTAGCAAAAGAAAAGAAATGACAGTATCTTATTTTGCTCATTCTAAATTTTAACAATATTAGCTAATTTTTCAGTAGGCAGATTATTACTAATGATGTGAGGAAAAACAGGTGAAGCATTCAAATAACAACTTGATTTAGCTCAGTGATAGTTTTCCTATTTACTAGTGCATAATCCAAAATGTCAACAACTGAGCACAGTGGCTCATGCCTGTAATCCTAACACATTATTGAGGCTATGGTGGGAGGATCGCTTGAGGCCAGGAATTCAAGACCATCCTTGGCAACATAGGGAGACCTAGCTCTACAAAAAATTAAAAAATTAGCTGGGCATTATGGTGCACACCTGTGGTCTCAGCTACCCGAGAGGCTGAGATGAGAGGATCGCTTGAGCCCAGGAGGTTGAGGGTGCAGTGAGCCATGGCCACAGTAAGACCCTGTCTCAAAAAAAGAAAAGCAACAACAACAACAACAAAAACAAAAGCCAAAAAATTGACAAATATCTTGTGTAAAGAAGCAAGAAAATGCATTAATATAGGACATTTACATTATTAAAAGTATTTGTTTTGGCTAGGCATGATGGTTCACGCCTGTAATCTCAGCACTTTGGGAGGCCAATATAGAAAGATCACTTGAGCCCAGGAGTTCAAGACCAGCCCTTGCAACATAGCGAGACCCTGAGATATGGTTTGGATCTGTGTCCCCACCCAAATCTCATGTCAAAACGTAAACCCCAGTGTTAGGGGTGGGGCCTAGTGGAGGGTGACTGGATCATGGGGGCGGAGTTCTCATGAATGGATTATTGCCATCCCCTCAGTGCTACTCTTGTGATAGTTTTTCTAAGATCTAGTTGTTTAAAAGTATGTAACACCTTCCCCTCTCTTCCTCCTGCTACAGCCACGTAAGAGGTGCCTGCTTTCACTTCACCTTCTGTCATGATTCTAAGTTTCCCGAGGCCTCCCCAGAAGTAGAAGCCACTATGCTTTCTGTACAGCCTGTAGAACCATGAGACAATTCAACCTCTTTTCTTTCTAAATTACCCAGTCTCAGACATTTTTAAATACATCCTGTTTCTACAAAAAAAATTTTTTTTTAAAAAATTAGCCAGGCATGGTGACATGCACCTGTAGTCCCAGCTACTCAGGAGGCTGAGGTGGGAAGACTGCTTGAGTCTGGGAGGTCAAGACTGCAGTGAGCCATGGTCCGCTCCACTGCACTCCAGATTGGGTGACAAAGCAAGACTCTGTCTCAAAAAAATTTTTTAAATTAAAAATATTATTTCTTCCTGGATATCTGGTTCAATTTCTTACCATATGCCTACATTAAAAACAGGGTGGGGAAAGCATTTGGAGATACAATAAATGGTATTAAAGCACTCTACTGCCACATGGTACTAATCACACTTTTATAATCTTGTAATTATAAATTAACACCATAGTAGAAATTAACCTCTGGGGTCAAAGGGATTAGTGACTGTCTTAGCTATGTAAACGTTCAACATTTAATGAATGAAAAAAACCATATTTTATGAAATGTGAATTCCGATCATAAAATCAATTAGTATCTGGATAGTGACTAAGTATTTACATATCTTCATATATTAACATACAATGCTTATTTTAACATAAGGACAATGAACAAGGCTTTCGCTTAGACTTTTTGTACTGCTGAAGACATTTACCAACACAAAATGACTAATGATTGCAACTTCACACAGGCACTACTTCTCCAAGTCTGTCATCTACAGCCTGGAGACTGTACCTTCCTTTTGCATCAATTACAAAGACAACAAAATTACATAAAAACCTAGTTGAGTCACAAATAAGTCAATACACAGAGTGACTTAAGCTTCTTAGGACATATTCTCCGTAATCATCCTCCTTGGACTGTTTTGTTTTTTTTTGAGACAAGGTCTCACTCTATCACCGAAGCTAGAGTACAGTGGGGCAATCATAGCTCTCTGCATCCTCTCACCTCAGTCTCCGGGAGTATCTGGGACTAAAGGTGCATGCCACCACCCCCAGCAAATTTTTGTATTTTTTGTAGAGACAGGGGTCTCCCTATGTTGCCTAGGCTGGTCTCAAACTCCTGGGCTCAAGCAGCCCTCCTGCCTCAGCCCCTCAAAGTGCTAGGATTAAAGGTGTGAGCCACTGCACCCAGCTGGACTGATTTTAATGAACATAATCATTGAACATCCGTGGTATCTACGGCAAACAAACAAGTGCTGAATTCCTAAAGAATACTTTCTTCTGCTCAGCAAATTAAATCACTTTATTGCAAATCTGCCAACAAACTTTTTTTGTTTAGCAATGCTTTTTCTCATTCACATGACAAAAGTAAATCTAAATCCAGGTTTAGGTATTTATAGGAGACCATTAGCCTTTAAAGATTTAACAAAGTTTCTACTATTCAAACCAACTCTTGGTAATTTCTTATTTTTCTGAGGGCATAAATTGAATCATACAGTTTTTCAGTGACGAACAAGTCACTTAGCTAGTGGGTCAACCAAGAGCTAAATCAACAGTCTGTTTTCTAGTTTGTCCAAATACTTTCATGGGGGAGTTACCTCTGCTGGCTTTACTAGCAAGGCAAAAAAGCTCTATAACAAAGAATAGTATTACTGACTCAATTATAATAAGGAAAAGTAAAGTTTTATGTTTTGAATGAAATTTGGCATAAAAATTAGTGTTGTCAACATACAGACTTACAGAAGCCAAAAATCTCCTTCAAAGACCCTATTAGCTCAAAGCTCAAATCTTTTAATGTTTTATTCCAACCCCATCATTTAGACAAATCTATATATGTGCAAACATAAGATTTTTGTTCCATTAAAATTCTCTGAAAGGGGAATCACCATATATTTGGGTCCTTACAAAAGTTTCTCCTCTTATAAGGCATCCTCTCAACTGACTTATTTGGAGAATCAAAATACTGCTGAAGAAAAGTTGCCTTATTTTGAAAAATATACTACTTAGATAAGATCTACACACTAAACAGCCTCAATCTATGCTGGGTTTTGATGCTTTAGGTATTGTCTGAGAGAAGCAGGTCAAATAATTTAGATGGAAATGAAGATGACAAGCTTTAGAAAACTGTTTACATAACACAAAAAGCGTTTTTTTGTTTTTTTGTTTGTTTTTTTTTGAGGCAGGGTCTCACTATTGCCCAGGATGGAGTGCAGTGGCATTGATTATGGCTCACTACAGCCTTGACCTCCTGGGCTAGTGATCCATCTACTCAGTATCCTAAGGAGCTGGGACTACAAATGCATACCACTATGCCCAACTAATTTTTGTATTTTTTGTAGAGACAGGGTTTTGCCATGTTGCCCAGGCTGGTCTTGAACTCCTGAACTCAAGTGATCTGCACCTTGCCTTGGCCTCCCAAAATGCTAGCATTACAGGAATGAGCCAATGTGCCTGGCCTAAAAAGTGGTTCTAAAGTTAAAGATATAATTTTTTTTTTTTTTAAAGAGACAGGGTCTTGCTCTGTTGCCCAAGATGGAGCACAGTGACGTAATCAGGGTTCACTGCAGCCTTGACCTCCCAGGCTCAAGGGAACCTCCCAACTCCGCCTTCTGAGTAACTGGGACCACAGGTGCCACCAGGCCTGGCTAATTTGTGTGTGTGTGTGTGTGTGTGTGTGTGTGTTACAGACGGGGTCTCACCATGTTGCCCAGGCTGATCTGTGTGTGTGTGTGTGTGTGTGTGTGTGTGTGTGTGTGTGTGTGTGTGTGTGTGGTACAGACGGGGTCTCACCATGTTGCCCAGGCTGATCTGGAACTCGTGAGTTCAAGTAATCCTTCCACCTCGGCCTCCCAAAGTGCTGGGATTACAGGCATAAGTCACCACACCTGGCCTAGTATTCCTAAATTATTTTCTGTGATTTAAAATGTGACATCATCCTAATAGTGGAGTAAGACATTATATGATTCATAATGTAATATGAAACAGTACCACCACATATGAAGAACTGCCTTCAAAAAACACTAAGCTTCAATTTGTCTAATATTATAATAAAACTACTGATCTAAATACATATTTATGACATAAAATTTTGAAGCGGGGGAAGCAGATTACACAGACTGTGGTATAGGCCTAAATGTCAAAAAAAAAACTGTGTAAGCCTGCTTCTCACAAACCAACTATAAAGACTTTTTTGAGAAAAATCAGGGAAACTCAAATATAGAATGAGTATTAGATAACAGTAAGGAATTCTATTAGTTATGATACTAGCAAGAGGATTGGGTTTGTTTTTTGTAAGTCCTCATCAGTAAAAGCATTTATGCTTGAAATGGCATATTGTTTGGGATTTACTTTGAAATACTCCTTCAAAAAGTAAAATATGGGTATAAATAAGATTTCACACAATGTTGAACAAGGACGGTAGCTATCAAGGGTTCACAATACTTACTATTCTCTCTACATGTTTGAAAGCTTCCATAATAAAGTTTAATAAATGAAAAGGCTAGGTGGTTAGAAAAAAATAAAGTTTAATAAAATACATATAGCAGTCTGACAGAAAGCCACATAAAGCAGGTGGTATTTAAGCTGGGCCTTGAAGGTCAGTTACACAATTCAGACAAAAATATTTTTAAAACATTTATAAACTGCAGTTTTTAATTCACTTAGGGTCCAAGCCTTCATATGAACTTAATTTGGCTTATTACTTCCTCAAACATACTTTTGACTAGCGTATGAAAAATTTTCCCAAAAACTGATTTCCAAAAGGGTACAAATTTTGGAGACTAATTTTTAATCAGCTAACCTTCCCCCAAAGAGAATAACAACAGAAATTTTATTGAGCACCCCATTTTATGCCACAGATTATACCAGGCACATTATATATAATTCTCACTATAATCCAGCAAAGTCAATACTGCATCATTACTTTGCAAATAGGAAAACTGGCCACAATTTCCCTACCCTAATATACAAAGCTACTAAAATGGTAGAGAACATAATACTATCAAAATTCCAAAAAGCCCATGCTCTTTCCCATACCAACCAAGCATAAGCCATCACTCAAGCTAATGCCAATTACGCTACTCTCTAAAAGACGTGGTGGCTCACGCCTGTAATCCCAGCACTTTAGGAGGCTGAGGCAGGTGGATCACCTGAGCTCAGGAATTCGAGACCAGCCTGGCCAACATGGTAAAACCCTGTCTCTACTACAAACACAAAAATTAGCCGGGTATGGCAGCGTGTGCCTGTAATCTCAGCTACTCAGGAGGCTGAGGCAAGAGAATCGCTTGAACCCAGGAGGCGGAGGTTGCAGTGAGCCGAGACTGCACCACTGCACTCCAGCCTGGGCGACAGAGCAAGACTCTTGTCTCAAAAAACAAAACAAAAAAAACACCTGGACAATTGTTTACCACTTATCCCTTCATGCGCAAATCCCACAAATTCCTCAAAGTTTGGCTCAAATGCAGCTTTCCCTAAAGCTGACCCCAAACAATCCTTCTCTTAATTCCCACAGAATTTAATTGGTATGTTGCAGTATTACTAATACATCTTGCCCACTAAATTTTAAAACTTCTCTAAATCAGAACTAGGAAAGAAAAAAATCCCACACAATCTCATCAACTGTTCTGGTTATACCAGTGTTCCATGAAATGCTACTAGTTATGAGGGAAGTCAAAGGAATACTAAGGATATAGTAATAGGGAAGGGAAATGATATAATACAAATATTCCAGGTTATTACATGAAAAGGCAAAGTGAAAACCAATCTATGCTCCTATCATCCTAGTTTTGTAAAAACAGGATGCAAGCATAAGTCACACTTAACCATTAATAGTGGTCGCACCTAGAAAAAGGATATGCATGATTTTTACATTACATTTTATAGTTCTTAACTCCTAGAATGTTTTCCACACACTAGTTGTATCTTTAGAAATATTTAAAATATATACATGATAAAATCACACACTTACATAGTTCTTATAGTCATGTTAACTTGGAAATCAATGGCTTTATATATGGAAGGATCCAAATATTTAATAAATTAGTTAAT
This sequence comes from Homo sapiens, assembly GCF_000001405.40. Taxonomy (NCBI): domain Eukaryota; kingdom Metazoa; phylum Chordata; class Mammalia; order Primates; family Hominidae; genus Homo; species Homo sapiens. Next base: position 20,339,077 of record NC_000002.12, read on the forward strand.
AATATGCCACATCTAAGCACTAAAAAATAAGTTATTTCTATAGCTTATTTCAAAAAAAATGTTTACTACAATGTATGAGCAAGACTAGATTTTTCCTAAATATACTTACATGCAGAATATGTATCATGACTTGCAAATAAATTACAGTTATGTAATTCTGCATGCAAGGTGGTACATATCTGTAATCTCAGCTACTTGGGAGATTGAGGTGGCAAGAATCACTTGAGACCAGGAGTGGGAAAATGACCAGGGTTAACCCATCTCAAGAGAAAAAAAAAAAAAGTACAATAAAACATCTAAACGAAGCATCACTTAAAAGAAAAATATTTTCATTTTAGTCTTGTTTGTAAGTTTCCAACCATTTTAGAAGCAATATAAAAGAATGTACGTGTACACTCAATGCCTACTACAGTAAATATCTTTAGCCTTACTTTTAATACATCAGGTTTTTAAAAAGCAAAGCCCAGTTTGTAGATGTAAATATTCTCTCACCATCTGATTTAAAAGAAAAAAGAAAAGCAGGCCAGGCATGGTGGCTCATGCCTGTAAGCCCAGCACTTTGGGAGGCCGAGGCGGGTGGACCACCTGAGGTCAGGAGTTCAAGACCAGCCTAGCAGACATGGTGAAACCCTGTCTCTACTAAAAATATAAAACTTAGCCAACTGTGGGGGCACACGCCTGTAATCCCATCCTCTTGGGAGGCTGAAGCAGGAGAATCACTTGAACCTGAAAGGCGGAGGTTACAGTGAGCCGAGATCATGTGAGCCGAGATCGTGCCACTGTACTCCAGCCTGGGCGATGAGTGAAACTCCATCTCAAAAAATAATAAATAAAAGAAAAACACAGGATAAGTATTTATAAATGTCATTTCATCTAGATTAGTTCTATCCTACTCTTGATAAATTCCTCAATGTAAAAAAAAAAACGGCCAACTAAATCATACATTTAATTTAAAGCCAATATATTTGACAGTATGCTGTGATAAACATGATTTATATATTTCTAGCTTTCAAAGTATTTTAGTATTGTCCTTTGCTTTGTAATGTATTCTTTAACAGGTTAGGGAAGGAACAAGTGAACTGGTTTAAAAAAAAATCTGTCATTACTCCTGTCATCCAAGACTACTGTTGATATGAATACAGAAAATACCAATGGAGGTGAAAATATGCCAGTTCTATAGAATGCTACGTTTCACTCCAACAGCAATGTAAGATAGGACTAATCACAAAAGAAAGCTAACTCTTTGGTGCCAAAGTTTAACTACCTGGGTAAAATACACAACAGTAAGATGTGGGATGGATCAGAGTTCTACCTTTCTCAGTACATATATGGTGAGGACCTGATAACTGATTCCCAGAAGACTTAAATGCACTAACAGATGTAGTCTGGAAACTCTTCAGGTACCCCTCAGGGATGGGAGCACCCCAATTTTGAGATCACTAGTTCTCAAACACTTACAACACACATCAGAGTCCAGGTAGGAGGATTTTATAAACTACAGTTGCTCAGGTTTCACCTACCCAAGGCTGGCTTGAATTAGTCTGGGCAGCAAGACAGGCGGATTTTTATTAGTATTTTTTAGGCTCTCCAGGTGATGCTTTCCCTCTGCAGATAGGGTTGAAACACTCATACATCACCATATGGCTAAGGAATATATCCACAAACACCCTAGAAGTTTCCCAACTAAAAAATTTTGTTAGTATCAGTCATCATGGTGTAACAGAAATCAGAATCAAAAGACCAAGAATACAGTTCCAGGTTGGCCACTAACTAGCTAAATGAACTCGATCTCATTTGTCCATTTGCAAATGGAAACAACAATGCCTCCCTCATAGGGCTGTTGCAAAGATTAAGTGAGGTAATAAATGAAATTGAAATGCAAGTGCTTTCTAGAGTATTAATGACACATCAAACTGAACTTTTTGTTTATTTGTTTAAAAATCAATATAAAATTCTTTGGACTGGGCACAGTGGCTCATGCCTATAATCCCAACACTTTGGTTGGCCAAGGCAGGAGGATTACTTGAGTCCAGGAGTTCAAGACCAGCGTAGGCAACATAGCAGGGGCCACAGCTCTTACCTGCGCTCTGCACAGCCCCCCTCTCCCTGCCCCGCAAAAAAAGAAAATATTTTGACCCAGAAGTTTCTCTTTTGGAAATTTACCTTAAACAAACAGCACCAACACAAATGAATTAACTATATAAAGATATTTACTGCAGCACCACTTATATGGTGGTACAAAATTAAAAAAATAAGCCAAACTCAACAACAGAAAAAAGTTAAAACAATGAGCCAGTACAAAAATTACAAGTAATTAAAGTTACATGTAAAATGTCCATGATATTAAGTAAAAATACAAAGTTGCCTAATGTGTATCATATGATCCAATTTTTGTTCAAAAAAGGAGGGGGGCAATGTATGACTACATATGTTTGTGGGAAGTACGAAAAAATAAACATCTCACTCAACTTTGGTAAAGAAGGTACTGTTGGCTTTATCTTTGTATTTCTTCATATTGTAAGACTTACTGAGGTTAGCAAAATAAATTTCTTAATGTCCTATATAAATATAGCTTAACTGCATTACAGTTTGGAAACTATCAAAGTACAAAAGTTATTGTGTTACTTTTTGTTCCTATTAGTACTAGGCTGAAAGTCCAACAAATGAAGACTTGTCTCACATGGCTATCTTAGTAATTTTCAATTGTTACATGCTATCAATTAGAATTAATACCTCACCAAGGAAAAACAACTTAAGAAATGTTAACTAGAGGCCTAGCATGGTTGCTCACGCCTGTAATCCCAGCACTTTGGGAGGCTGAGACAGGTGGATCACTTGCGGTCATGAGTTCGAGACCAGGGTGGCCAACATGGTGAAAGGCCGTCTCTACTAAAATATAAAAATTAGCCAGGTGTGGTGGCAGGCGCCTGTGATCCCAGCTACTAGGGAGGCTGAGGCAGGAGAATCGCTTAAACCCAGGAGGTGGTGGTTGCATGGAGCGGAGATTGCGCCACTACACTCCAGCCTGGGCAACAGAGTGAGACTCTGTCTCAAAAAAAAAAAAAAAAGAAAGAAAAAGAAATGTTAACTAAATTGTAACAGAGAACTAAAGGAAGAAATCTGAATGCATGGTCTGAGACAACTGGAGAAAAATAACAATTTTAAGAAGCAGACTTTAATGCAGTATATTTGGAATTTTCCTAAGTGTGCTCCTTATTCACCAACTCAGTGTTCTCAGAAATAAGTGATCCCTTGTCCAATACATTTCAGGTATGCTGCTCAGTAGCACCCACTTGCTCCTTTGCAAGCTCTGAGTACATGTTCAATCTTTCCTTCCTTCTGTTACTGGCTCCAAGAAATTCTACAATTAAAACTGTTTAACCTTAACCCAGTATTACCATAACTTTTCTGTAAATGTTAACACAAATACATTTTATGTAGTGTTTCTAGTCATTTCCAAGACAACTTAAAGAAAAATGAATGTGAGGTATGAAATATATTCAATTTTCTCATAAGACTGGGTAGAATAGAGATTTAATTTTTGTCTAGGAAAACCCTAACTTACGGTTAAAAGCTTTAAAATATATTTAGCTTATTATGACTTATGAATAGTCTAAGAAATATATATGAATTGTATAAATCTTTGAAGTAAAAGGAATCATTTAGGTGATTAGCATGAATTGCGGTTTTTAAAGTTCCTCAAGTAATCAAGAACAAGCTTTGAATTGGTTAACTTTAAAGTGAGATGAAATGACCAAGCCAATTTCCTAAAGATACTTAAGTTTTAAAAAGGCAAGTTATTACATCAAAAACACCACCAAACATCTAGGTAGAAATGTATGGAGAGAAACCAAATCTGTGTTAGTTTCAAGGATTAAGTATTAAATCATATATATATTTATAGACAGGGTCTTACTCTGTCACCCAGGCTAGAGTGCGGTGGTGCCTTCACAGCCTCCAAACCTGGGCTCAAGCAATCCTCCTGCCTCAACCTCTAGGGTTACAGTAGTGCCACACTATGCCCAGCTAAATTATATATTTTTAAAAGAGTCTGTGTTTAAAAAAAAATTGAGTATAATTTAAATAAACTTACTTTATTCACTTAAGCAAATGTTTGGAAGACGGCAGACTATCTTAAAGGAAATATACAATAAAACAAACAAAAAAATTAGCTGGGTGTACTGGTACATGCCTGTGGTCCCAGCTACTCAAGAGGCTGAGGTGGAAGGATCACTAGAGCGAGGGAGGTGAAGGCTGCAGTGAGTCATGTTCACACCACTCCACTCCAGCCTGGGTGACACCACTGCACTCCAGCCTGGATGACAGAGACCCTGCCTCAAATTAAAAAAAAGTTTCTAAATAAAAATAACTAAGTAATTTATTAAATAAAATAGCAAATAAACTAGTAAGTTTAAAGCTAACCAGTTGTGCTAGTAATTGTACAAACAGTAGGTATGTACAATTCTCATTAGCCAGAGAAAGAAATCATACCAAACCCTTGGATGCAACCTTATTCCTAACACTAAGCTTTAAAAGAAATTTCTGTTGGGCATGGTGGCTTGGACCTATAATCCCAGCACTTTAGGAGGCCAAGACAGGAGGATTGCTTTAGTCCAGGAATTCGAGACCACATGGGGCAACAAATTCGAGACTAGCCAAGGCAACATAGTGAGACCTTGTCTCTACAAATAATAACAAAATAACTAGTTGGGTATGATGTTGTGCGCCTGTAATGCCAGCTCCTCAGGAGGCTGAAGTCAGAGAACTGCTTGAGACTGGGCAGTTGAGGCTGCAGTGAGCAGTGACTGCACCACTGCACTCCAGCCCCAGCAACACGATGAGACACCCGCCCTCATCCCAGTATCAGAGAAAAAAAAAGCAATTTCTTAGATGGAGCATTATTGAGGCAACAGAGTTGTAATAGAAAATATCTTCAACATTACCATTAACAGATACAAGGTTTCATAGTATCATTTTACTTTATTTTATTTTACTTTATTTTATTTTTTGAGACAGGGCCTCACTCTGTTGCCCATGCTGCAGTGCAGTGGCTCGATCTTGGCTCACTGCAATCTCTACCTCTTGGGATCAAGAGATCCTCGCGCCTCAGCCTCCCAGGTAGCTGGGACTACAGACGCGAGCCACCATGCCCAGCTAATTTTTGCATTTCTTATTGAGATGGGGTTTCACCACGTTGCCCAGGCTGGTCTCAAATGCCTGAGCTCAAGCAGTCCACCTGCCACGGCCTCCCAAAGCGTTAGGCGCCCAGCCTCATAGTCTTTCTTACAGTCAGTTCCTCAAGGAAAAGTCAAATACCTAACTCCTAATATAATCCAGGAAAACTAACTACACAGTAATTCTCTAAGGCTTTCAAGGACACCATGATTGTCTATATCTTCCTAAATTATAATCCTGGACTGTCCATATTAGATAAAGGACTTCAATCTGGTGGGCTTCTACCTATCTCTCCTATCTCTCTTTTGTCACCCTCCTCCCTATAACTGCACCTTAAACTCTTGTCATTCTACCCTATCAGGATTACTACGGCTATTAATCCCTCTGGCTGAATGCCACCTCACCCATCTCGGGACTAAATTAACTTCTATAACATTTTAAGATTCCGCAGCTGGGCACAGTGGCTCACACCTGTAATCCCAGCACTTTGGGAGGCTGAGGCCGGCGGATCACGAGGTCAGGAGATGGAGACCATCCTGGCTAACATGGTGAAACCCCGTCTCTACTAAAAATACAAAAAAAATAGCAGGGCTTCGTGGCGGGCGCCTGTAGTCCCAGCTACTCAGGAGGCTGAGGCAGGAGAAGGGCGTGAACCCGGGAGGCGGAGCTTGCAGTGAGTTGTGATAGTGCCACTGCACTCCAGCCAGAGCAACGGAGGGAGACTCTGTCTCAAAAAAAAAAAAAAAAAAAAAAGAAAAGAAGATTCCGCTTTACCTCTTGTGGAAAGCTTTTCCTGTCCCTGCAGTCTCTACCTACATGTGTCCACAGCACTTTTTTCTTTTTTTTTTTTTTGCGGCGGGGCCGGGGAGACAGGGCCTCCCTCTGTCGCCCAGTCTGGAGTGCAGCGGCACGATCACAACTCACTGCAGCCTCAGTCTCCTGGATTCAAGTGACCTTCCCACCTCATTCCCACCTCAGCCTCCCAAATAGCTTGGACTGTAAGTGCGTGCCACCATGCCAGACTAATTTTTTAATTTTTTTAGAGACAAGGTCTCCCTATGCTGGCCAGGCTGGTCTTGAATTCCTGGACTCAAGTGATCGTCCCGCCTCAGTCTCCCAAAGTGTTGAGATTACAGGCATGGGCCACGTGCCCACACCACAGCACTTTTATAATACCACCTCAGTGGCAGGCTAGCATGCTGCACTGTAATCACAAGTTTAATCTTCTCTCCACTTTCCTATAAAGGTCTTAAAAACAAGGACCACATATCACCGTATCACCAGCATCTAAGGACAGTGTGGCACGATACATCTGCAACGCTCAAAAAAAAAATGTGTGGGGCGAGGCACAGTGGCTCACGCCTGTAATCCCAGCATTTTGGGAGGATGAAGCAGGTGGATCACTTGAGGTCAGGAGTTCAAGACCAGCCTGGCCAACAGTGAAACCCCATCTCTTCCAAAAATACAAAAATTAGCCGGGCATGGTGGTGGGCGCCTGTAATCCCAGCTTCTTGGGAGGCTGAGGCAGGAGAATCGGTTGAACCTGGGAGGCGGAGGTTGCAGTGAGCCGAGATCACGCCATTGTACTCCAGCCTGGGCAACAAGAGCGAAACTCTGTCTCCAAAAAACTTGTGCAGGTATTTTAGCGTGATGAAAAGACACAATTTTAATATTCAGACTACAAATGGACTGAATGTCCATACTCCATGAATATTTTCTCAACCACGATTCTGAAAGAACTGGCAAACAATTTACCTTTAGCAAGAGCGTAGAGCACTCCTATTCTTGCTAGTGTAGGATGCACATAATTTAGATATTAAGACGAGGGCACCTAAGACTCTCCTTTGGAAAAAAAGTAATAAATTACACTTCCATTGAAAGGTGGTCCAAGAAAACACCTATAGGCAAAACCTGGAGCCACTATCCTCTCAACTTCAAAACATAATTCTGTTCATGTTGAATTGGTTTTAAAGATTCAAGTTTTATCATAGATAACTGAATGTTTTTGCATGTAATCATGCTAAAACTACCGATAAGCTACTATGGAGATGTTCTTAATAAACTAACTTAAAAATGACATGGTCAAGAAAATGGAAGATACAAGTAGTTCCAATCTGTATACATTTTTGGTATTTATAAAAATCATACAATACAATCCACATTTTTTTCTTCCTACAGTTTGCTTCATTTGACTGCCTAATAAAGACCTATACTTAGGGGCACTCTCCCTCTAACACTCATTTGCCTTATTTCATGTCTGAATGAATAAGACCAATTGCATCTTTCTCTCACTGATCTTAAGTTTTTCAGAAACTGCCTAAAGTCAGGGATCACCACTTTGAGATCCAGAACTTCTTACTCTTGTCATAAGATGGCTACTACAATAAGATAGATCAAAGAGCTGTCCTCAAACCAGGTTTCCTCCATTAGTGTATTTTTCCCCAGAACTAAAAAAATGTAAATAATCCTTCCCTACCGCCCCGCCATGACCACATTGTATGTGTGTTGGCAGCCAGCTACAGGTTCCATTTCCCTGGGCAGTACTGACTAAGTGGTTTTGAGTACAATTTCATAGCCAATTGTACCAAGTCCCTTCCAGGAAACATTTTAGGGGGCTTCTGTGGTCCCAACATATTTAGCTCCAAATAGGTGATGACTACCTTTTTTTTCCTGTCCCATTTGCAGTCAATCAAACCATCTAACACTTCAATTACCTCCCTTCTCCTTTTACACTTCATGCTACTTCTTTTTTTGCACTTGCCAGCTACAGTGATATGCATACAAGGTGTGTACATTTTGATATTTCCCAGTACTCTATTCTAAAATCTTTTATTCCTCCACAAGAGAACAGTGAGAGAGTAAGATGTGAAAATCAACAATATGCAATACGCAACCTGAAAATGGTTGGGATCCAGTAGCTAAACTTGCAGAATGGAACTTACTAATGAAACTATGCTTTTGCCAACAGCTTAAATAAACAATCTGTTTAAAAATTCTCTAAAGCACTTAAGACCATAAAAAGGAACCAGCCAAAGGTCAAATAAAACTTTTAATATTTGTGTTTAATTAGGCGTGTCTTGATTTTTCATTTAAAAAGATAACTCTCGAGTTATTTGAAGAAAAAGTCACTAAGGAAAAAAAACACTAACATGTCTCTAAACATAATGCTACATGAAACTCAAAGAAAAAGCATTTATCACGCACCTACCTAATAATTCTATACAGCGTTTCACTCACTGGAAAAGCTTGAAAATAGAAAACTTCCACTTTTTCAACTACAAAAGCAATTAAGTTTTAAATAAAAACTGTCTCCTGTCTATATATATTGCCAAATATAAAAATCACTATTAAAATATTAGCTCCTAAATGATAGGGTTTGAGGAAACCTTTTTCCACAACAGAATTCCGAACTGACTGAAAGACACAGTAGTTGGACTTGTGTTAATCCAAAGATTTCCTTTACTACTGATAAAACCACAGTGGAGGCATAATTTAGACCTAGGCCAAGTGGGCTTCCAAACACACTCCATAATTATTCTAACCCAGTCACAAGTAGCACTGGACAACTACTGTCCTCTGGAAATGGGGAGTCTAACTTTGGTAGTCACATGAAAAAGCAGGGCAAATTAAGTGCTTTCTGCAGGGAGAAGACTCCCAGAGAGAAAGCGAGGAAGGGGCTCTGCCATATTTCATCAGCGTTCCCTCTTACAAACTCATCAAAGCGAAGTGAGGAGGCAGGACAAAACGAACAAGTCAGACTATTTTAATGCATTTCCTAAAAACAGCAAGGGTCTGGCACCGGGGCTCATGCTTTTAATACCAACATTTTGGGAGGCCAAGGCGGGAGAACTGCTTGAGCCCAGGAGTTTGAGACCAGCCTGGGCAACACAGCAAGACCTCACCTATATTAAAAATTAATAATAATAATAATAATAATAAAGAAAAAAAGCAAGAAATCTTAATATGCCACAGACCAATTTACCTGGCTATAAGTGTAATTTTTATCTTAATCACACCTGTTAGTAAAATGGTCTCAAGCTGTGATTGCAGCCATGTAGACAAAGCCATGTGAGACTCAAATATTCGGATATTTTAAATATCTGTAAATTTTAAGAATATGAAAAAATACAAGTATTTCCATATCCTGGAAACCCAACAAGGTATTTAAGTTAGGACGTATGTAGAACTTGAGTTTAGGAGACAGGAATCAACCTCCACTTAAAACTATGCAGATCATGTTAGGGTCTATAAAAAGGAGACAGCTTGGTCACTGAGAAAATTGGCTGTGGATTTCACACCTGGCCCAAATCTCTGGTCATAATTACTTTTGTTAACTAAGATAAGTACCTACTCCGGAAGGCAAATTATCTTTCCACACCAGAAAGGTTTATAAACAAGCCGGGTGTGGTGGCTCACGCCTGTAATCCCGGCACTCTGGGAGGGCGAGGCGGGAGGATCGCTTGAGATCGGAGTTCAGCCCAGGAAACACAGTGAGACCCTGTCTCTACAAAAAATGCAAAAATTAGCCGGGCGTGGTGGCGTGCGCCTGTACCCCCAGCTACAGTTACTCGGAAGGCTCAGGTGGAAGAACAGTTGCAGCCCGGGACGCGGAGGCTGCAGTGAGCCCAGATCTCACCACCTGCACTGCAGTCTGGGCGACAGAACCAGACCCTGTCTCAAACAAGAAAAAAAGATTCATAAACAAGTATGGAATGCTTGAGAGAAACAAAATCCAAGTATTATTTGGTAATTTATATACAGTATTTGTAATGCCTGAGAATTTATTCTAAAGTGACAGCTTTGTAAGAGCAAAGTAAATGTCAGTAATTAATTTAGGCTCTTTTAAAAAGTTGAAATCTTGCTAAATGCTGAAACACCTAAGAGAACTTTGGACTCAAATTAAGGAAAGCATGTGTTAAACACAGCTTAAATTGCTGGAAAATGCGTAAGTTACTGGCAATTATAACTCAAAATAGCTAGACCTGTAAACAAAATTTAAAAACTGGACTTAAATCCTCAAGAACCAGGTTTCTGAAATAAAATTTTATTTTTAAGATTATCGTAAACCTTTTCTGCATACAAAAACTGCCCTCATGCACACCAAGAAAATTCTACACAATGCAATTTCACCAAAAATCGGAATTTTAAAGAAATTCTTGCAGCACGGAAAATGCCATCATTTTTATTCATAATGATTGAGCAAATGAAGTAAATCATTGTTTAAAAGGAGGCTAGGAAGAGAAACAAGTTGAAAATACTCATTTTTGTTTTTTTTTTTTTATTTACAGGATTCCTTAAGTCATCTTCCAATACTCCAGGTCACATGGTGAAGAGTCACCTGTTAAACACGAAATCTAACCATTAAACAAGCTTTTAAAATCCTTCGGTAACTCCCTTTATTAAAATTGTTTTCTTGACATACAGTACCTTTACAGGTATTACATTTCTCTTCACCGTTTACAAGCATTTTTCTCATGTTTTCCTTCACCAAAACATCTGCCCCGTTTTCTCAACAAGTAAAAATCTCAAAGTACTAAGTCCTAACATGATGTCTTATTGCACCTAATATGCTGGCAATACATTCCTCTCTTCAAAAGTTTACGTATGTTAGAATAAAAAGCTAAGTTAAGTAGGTTTTCTCTGGCTGTGTTTTCAGAAACAACACTAACTTTTACACGTGTTTGGGCATGAAACTTTAAACATTTTCCCCAAAACCTGACCCAATTCAGATACAAAACTACTGCTCAAATAGTAGAAGCCGCTAATCTTGTCTTTGGTTTTAATTTACATATTTTTCTGAATATCGAAATCCGTTCCTATAACCTAAACAAGGCGAATCCAAGTCACTGCTTCATACCCACATCTGTCCACGGCAAGCTTTTCCCGGACACACTCGGGCCTTTGAAAATGCCCACACTTGTTTTCATAAACCCACTCCTTCCTCTTCACCCACTTGCAATCCGCATGCTTCTCTGGGGCCACCCGGCCTCTCCCCTCTTTCCGAACCCTAGGGCCGACAGCTCGGTCTCTAACCTCCAGCGCGCCGAATCGGAGGGAGAACCGGGTCGGCGCCCCACGCCCCCGAGGCGGCGGCCCCGCAGAGGGAAGGAAGCGGGAAAGCGGCCGGCGCGGCGCCCCCTCCCCCGCACGCGCACACCCCCTTCCGGCACCCCTCCCCCTGCATTGTGCGAGCGGGCCCCAGGCCGCACCGGCCCGGGCACTCAGCAGGCCCTATCCGCCCTCCCGCTGGCGATCGGCTCCCGCCGAGGCCGCCGCACAAAGCCTGGGGAGCCATCCTCGACGGCGCCAAAGGACCGGAGAAAGAGCGAACGCGGACTGACTTACAGGGCTGCTGCGGCCGCGCTGCCTCAGCCGGGGACACCGACCGTTGGGCACACGGCGGCGTCGCTCTTGGCGGTCCTCCCCCTCCTCCGCCTTCGGTGGCGGCAATGTCTTCTTTCTCCACCTACCACCCTCCCCCCCCACCCCACCTCCTCCTTCTCCTCCCCCTCCTCCTCCGAACCACCGAAGTACCGAGGGTGAGACACAGAGACTCACAACAACATGGCTGCCACCGCCGCCTGCCCTCCCCTCCCCCCCGCCCACCGGGCGCGCGCAGTGCACCCCGGGAGAAAGGGGAGGGGGAGCGCTCACCAAGGCGCGGCTCCTTTTAATGCCTTGCGTCCCTGCTCCCGCGCTGCCGCCGCGCGGGCCGGGGGCGCCCTGCGCGTGCGCACGTTCTCCGCGCTCTCACGTGTTTGGCCGCCTCTCCGGCGTGCCCTCCCCCGCCCTCACCTTGCGGGCTCGCGCTTCCCTCCTGGGCTCCGCCGCGGCGGGCTCGGAGAGCGCAGGCGTACTGTTGCCAAACGCTGTGTTCGACTGTCTTCCCGCGTGGGGCCTCGCCTTCTGAATCTTCTTACCCTCGGCTTCCTACCCGGTTGCTCACTGTTTTCCCCCAACTGGGTGTGCGGGTGTCTGCGCCCGCGCCGCCCACCGTGGGGTACTCCTGGCATTTCGCTTCCAGAGTGCTGGCGCCCACAAGAGCCGGACGTTAATTCAGGCCTTTAACTTTCACTCTGTACCTCCCCACAACCAGACGAGGGAGATGCATCTGGGGGTGGAAGATTGTACCCTGCGAGAGGGCTGTCACTCTTCTCGTGGTTGCACCCCAGGCAGGTGGAGCCAGCTCTCAGCAAATTGTCGGCCCCCAGTGCTTGGTCCCGGTGCACACAAAGGAAACTCAGGTCGTTCTCCAGCTGGGCCAGTGATTCTCACTCGTTGGCTGTTTCTTTTTCTCGCGTACTAAGCGCTCTCTCCTTCCCCGTTTACAGGCTAGTTGGAAACTCCAAATCTGCCTTGCTGTCCTGGACCCCCATGCAAAGCAGTGGTGATTCCAGGATTCTAACCTAACCGGCTCCAGGTCACACAGCTGTAACAGGCACCGTGTCCGATTTGTTCTTGATGGTTTGTTTGCACAGCTCCTGGCTCTCCTGACATGCTGCACTTCGTAAATATTCAGGGCCTCCCGTATAGTTTGCTTAATATATGTCTTCCCTAGGCGACTGTGAGCTCCACGAGGGCAAGGACCTTGTGTTTTGTTTCACACTGTGCCCGCAAGTGCCTGTTGAATACACATGGGCTCTTCGGTTTTTAACTATTACTGAAAAATGTCTGACATTGAAATCCATCCCAAGCCCCTACCTTAGGCTCATATTTCAGGCTTCTAGATATTTTCACTTGAATTTTCTTGTCACCAAGCATGTTAAAAACTGAAGTCACACCCATCCCCTACCCCCCACTCTTGTACTGTCTCTGTAATTGGCAGTGTCACCACCTATTCATTCCCCAAATTACACCTCTGAGAACCATCCTTGTCTCTTCCTCTTACCCCGACTCCAAATATAAATAACTTACCAAGCCTCGCAGATTTTTACTTCCCAAGTAATTCTGGAGACAGTCTTCCTCTGCCTCCTCACTAATGCTAGCCTTGCTTCCCAGGTCTGGATTTCTGTAGCTGGCTCTTAATCAGCTTTCCTGTCTCCAGTCTCACTCCCTCCAATCAGTTCTGCTCACTGCTATCTAAAATGCAAATCCAATTCCTGGCGCTCAGGCCTCTGCTTCAACCATCTCATTGCTCCCCATCACCCACGACAGCATTTCCCTAGTGTGCTGTGTTCAGTGTTAATAGATGTTCCTTTAAGAAATGTCTCACGATCAAGTAAGAATGGGAGATGCTGGGGTGTACACATTTTGCCTTCCTTCTCCTTTCCCCTCCGTTGAGCTGATAATAGCAGAAGAGTCTTTATATACAGTTGCTTAGTGTGGGTGAAACTAGATAAATCCATCACAGGCCCTCCCTTAGAATATGGAATTGGGACTAAGAGACCCCAACCTCGAAAGTCTCTTGGACCTGGGATCCCTTGGGCAGACTGGTTCCATCCTGTAAGACAGGGAACCTGTAGAGAAAGAGTGGAGTTGAGAGAGAAAAGGAGAGTGCTGACAATGTCTCTCTTTCACATGTTTCTGTGCCTGGCTGGCTGCCTCTACCCTTGGAGTCTGAGCCGCATTCCTGGATCCTTATGGTAAATTCTGCTTCTTTGCTTAAGCTAGATAAAGTGAATTTCTGTTACAACCAAGAGTCCTACTAAAAGCCACGTGTAAGCTATAGTTATTTGTTTGGTACTAACAACATGCAAGCACCAAAGCACTTTCCATACATTGTCTCATTTAATGTTCCAGATATCCCCATGAACAAGGCCAGCTTCAGCACAGGCACGTGACCTGTGCAGTTGAACAAGGCCTGGGGGGTGCCTAAAAAGATTCTACGATTGGTTTAATGCTCTGATGTCACCATCTAGAAAGTCTTAGTGGTTTTTGACAAAAGGGCCCCTCATTTTCATTTTGAACTGAGCTCCACAAATTACCTATGAGGTATTATCTCTATGTGACAAAAGGTTTATTTTCTGCCAGACTTATTAGTGCCTTTAAAATCAAAATATGCATTGTAAATATCCAAGTGAGGGACATAATATGCAATGTGTCCCAACCAAATTTGACCCTAGAAGACGTTTCTTCGTGGAGAATCTCTTACAGGTTTGGTGCTCTGCAAGACGCAGATTAAAGCCCCACCCTTTAGTGATCTGCCTATGTCCCTATCTCCTCTGGAGCTCATGATTCCCTATGCACAGTGAGCAGTTTCTTGCTTCTGTGCCTTCACATATGCTTTGCAATCTGCCATGCTCATTAAGCACTTCTGATTATAATTGGCTTCTCTTTAGATTTACCTACAAGGAAAGAATATACTCCTCAAGCTAATGTAAATATCTCGTGTGCTTGGTAGTTGAGGTGGACATTGTAATTGACACCCCAACAGCCATTCTCGTCACCTGGGAGCTTGTTAGAAATGCAGAATCTTGGCCCCATGCCAGATCAGCTTAATCAGAATCTGCATTTTAACAAGATTCCCGGGCAATTCCTATGCACAATAAAGTTTGAGAAACATTAGTAAGCCAATCACAATAATTCCACTCCGCTTGCTAGAAACTGGTTCTGTAATGGGCGTGCCTTATCCATTTTGAGCCAGTGAGACACAAAGAGGTGCTAACTCAGAGCTTCTGGAGGAAGAAAAGCCAGTCCAGTCTCTCTCCCCTGAGTGTAAACAAGAAAACATGTTGCCACAGTTCCCGCTGACAGGCATCTTATGACCACAAGGGAAATCAGACTGCCAGTAGCCTATCCAGTGTTCTCTCTCCCCTTCTACCTTAACAACTGGTCCTGGTGTGTATGCCCGTATGGACTGGAGGAGGCACAGAATGGAGTGTCTTGAATTTCCAGCAACAAGCATTGCGTTTGGGAATGTGTCTCGTTGGCCTGTTGAGTCCAGTGGTTCTCAACCAGAGTTGCACATCAGAATCACCTGGGGAACATTTAAAATATATTAATTCCCAAGCCCTACCACCAGAGATTTGGATTTAATGGGTCTTAGCTGAAGCGTGGACATGGGTACTTTTTAAAAGCTCCTTACAGCCGGGCATGGTGGCTCACGCCTGTAATCCCAGCACTTTGGGAGGCTGAGGTGGGCGGGTCACCTAAGGTCAGGGGTTCGAGACCAGCCTGGCCAACATGGTGAAACCCCATCTCTACTAAAAATACAAAAATTAGCCGGGTGTAGTGGTGGGCACCTGTAATCCCAGCTACTAGGGAGGCTGAGGCAGGAGAATCACTTGAACCCGGGAGGTGGAGGTTGCAGTGAGCCAAGATCGCGTCATTGCACTCCAGCCTGGGCGACAAGAGCAAAACTCCATCTCAAAAACAAACAAACAACAACAACAACAACAACAACAAAAAAAAACACAACTCCTCAGTAGTTTTAATGTATAGCCATGACTGAGAACCACCAATTTAGACAGATCACATCTTAGAGCATAAATCTTTGAGCATTTTAATATTCCTTATGCAAATGCTCTTTTCCACTGAGACTGTTTGTGAAACTCCTAGTAAACTCTTTTTGTAAGCTTGTCAATTTGATAAAAATAATATAAGCTTGGTTGGGCACAGAGGTCCACACCTGTAATCCCAGCACTTTGGGAGGCCAAGATGGGAGGATCACTTGAGGGCAGGAGTTCAAAACCAGCCTGGGAAACATAGTGAGACCCCCGTCTGTACAAAAAAATTAAAAATACAAGCCCTTTATAAAATTTTTCAGAAATGCAAAACGGTTTAAATCATCCCAATTTTAGTATCACAGAAAACTATTCACATTTGGTGAACACCATTATTATAGGCATAAATACAGATTTAAGGATGAACAGAGAAATATGCAGCTAGAGTAACATTAACAATAATAGGTTCTTTCTCCACATATTATTTTTAAAACAAAGTATTTTTTTAAATACAGTATTGAATTTGTTTTCATTTGAATTTGACAAAAGAGAAAAACAGAAGGAACTGATCAGATAACTGTTACTTCATCTCAAGAGAAAATGATTCATAAAACATTTCTCAAAGGCTAAAAATTTATTTATTTATTTATTTATTTATTTATTTATTTATTTATTTAAAAGTGGGCGTCTTGCTGAGGCTGGAATGCAGTGGCTGAACTGCATAGCTGCGGCCTTGAACTGGAATGATTCACATGATCCTTCCACCTCAGCCTCTGTAGTAGCTGAGACTACAGGCATAAGCCACTGTGCTCAACCTCAAAGGTTAAAATTATAAATATCATTAATAGGACATTGTAATTTTTCAAACTGTATGTTTCAGTATTGATCAGTGCTGAATTCCTTTCCATTGAAGATAGATTAACAGTCTGACTTTTGCTGAGCGCGGTGGCTCACGCCTGTAATCCCAGCACTTTGGGAGGCCAAGGCGGGTGGATCACGAGGTCAGGAGTTTGAGACCAGCCTGGCCAACATACTGAAACCCCATCTCTACTAAAAATACAAAAATTGGCTGGGCATGGTGGTGTGCGCCTGTGGTCCCAGCTACTTGGGAGGCTGAGGCAGGAGAATCACTTGAACCCAGGAGGTGGAGGTTGTGGTGAGCCAAGATCGTGCCACTGCACTCCAGCCTGGGCAACAGAGAGAGACTCTGTCTCAAAAATAAAAAAACAGTCTGACTTTCTACCACCTCTTCCCTGTCCTTCCTAATTTTTTGCTTATAATTTTTTATTATATTAATACTTTGTCAAAAAATACTTCGTCAGGTTTTATGATATTTACATTCTATTTTATCCATGATTTCCCTGTTGATTTGTCTTAATTTCAGTATTTAAGTATATTCATTGTTCACTGCTCTATTTCTGACCTGTTCATTTTGATTTGCTTATATAGATTTCATCATGTATCAGTTAGCATTTACTTGTGTTACAAACTACCCCCAACGATTATTTGTTTATTCGATCACAACCTGTGGGTTGGTGAATTTGGCTGGGTTCAACTGGGAGGTTTTGTGGATCTTTCCTGGCTCACTTATGCAATAACAGTCAGCTGGTGGCTTAACTTAATGGTTGAGGTTTGGTGATCAGCCAAGGCACCTTGTAGTCTCTCCAACAGGCTAGCTCAGGCTTGTTCACATGGTAGCAGACTAAGAATGGAAGCTGCAAGGCCTCTTGAGAGGGCTCAGCTTGGAACTCAAATAGTATCCCTTCCACCACAATTTATTGGTGAAAACAAATCATGACGCCAGCCCAGATTCAAAAGACTTTATCTTTTGATGGGAGGAATTACAAAAAAATTTTTGTTCATTCCATGATATCCTCATATTGCAAGTTATTTCATGTTTAAAAATGACCTCCTGGCCAGGCACAGTGGCTCATGCCTGTAATCTCAGCACTTTGGGGGGCCAAGGAGGGCGGATCGCTTGAGCTCACATATTTGAGACCAGTCTAGGCAACATGGTGAAACCCCATCTGTACAAAAAATACAAAAAAATTAGCTGGGCATGACGGTGTGCGCCTGTAGTCCCAGCTACTTGGGAGACTGAGATGGCAGGATGGTTTAGCCTGGGAGACAGAGGTTGCAGTGAGCTGAGATCACACCACTGTGCTCCAGTGGGCGAGAGAGCCAGACCTTGTCTCAAAACAACAACAACAACAAACTAAAAATAAAAATGCTTTCCTCTTTTGTTAAATAACACCTATCCTCAGGTTTTGCTTTTTTCTTCTTTTATGTATTTCTTTTAATTTTATAAAAATGTGAATGGCCAGGCACAGTGACTCACGCCTGTAATCCCAGCATTTTGGGAAGCTGAGGCAGGAGGATCACTTGAGCCCAGGAGTTCAAGACCAGCCTGAGCAACATAGCAAGAACCCATCTCTACAAAAAAAATTTAAAAGTATTAGCCAGGCATAGTGGCATGCCCCCGTGGTCCCAGACACTCTGGAGGTTGAGGCAGGATGATCACTTGAGTCCAGCAATTCAAGACCAGCCTGGGCAACATAACGAGATACTGTTCAAAAAAAAAAAATTATAGAAGAAATCTGCAAACTACACCTCTTAACAGCTAGCTCTCTGTTAGGCTCTGCAAATAGTGGGCAACTAGAAAAAGATTAGAAGGCAGAAGAAGGCCAGGCACGGTGGCAAAAAGATAGAAGGCAGAAGAAGGCCGGGCGCGGTGGCTCACCCCTGTAATCCCAGCAATTTGGGAGGCCAAGGTGGGCAGATCACCTGAGGTCGGGAGTTTGAGACCAGCCCCACCAACATGGAGAAACCTGGTCTCTACTAAAAAAAAAAAAAAAAAAATATATATATATATATATATATATATTTTAAAAAATGTAAAATATATATATAAAATATATATATATATAAAGTATATATATAAATATAAAGCCAGGCATGGTGGTGCATGCCTGTAATCCCAGCTACTCAGGAGGCTGAGGTAGGAGAATCGCCTGAACCTGGGAGGCGGAGGTTGCGGTGAGCCAAGATGGTGCCATTGCACTCCAGCCTGGGCGACGAGAGTGAAACTCCATCTCAAGAAAAAAAAAAAAGAAGGCAGAAGAAAGGAGAAGTCTTTCGCTCCTTCCTGTTCGCATGTAATTTTTGTCAGAATGACCCCAGAACGGTATGTCAGCCCAACTGCAGCAGCTGGTTCCAGTTTCCAATTTCCCTTGCATTCTCTGATTAGAATAGAATTAGCCTTGTTTTACCCCCTCAGAGGAATAAGCAGCAGCTGGACCGCACCCCTCCCTAGAGGCCTAAGACCCAGCTCCACGGGGCCTCTTCTTCGAACTCAGGAGCATCCAGGGTACCCCTTCCTCAGAGGTCCATGTCCCAACTCTTTGGGGCTTCTCTTCTACATAGAAGGTTCAGATAACATCCACCTCTCTCCTTTATTTCCCTTTATTCCTTTATTTCCCCAGGGGTGGTGGCTGCTTACTGCAGTTACTCACTCTGTGTTACCTCACTAACCCTTTTTGTTTTGCCATCTCTTGAGTGCCTATTTAACCAATTCCCTATGTTAAATTCTCTCTGTTGAAATAATCAATGTGGTTTCTGTTTTTCTGACCAGACCTTAATCGATGCATCATCTTCTGGAACTTATTTTATTGAAGTCATGTTATTATATTCTTTTCTAGCATCAGCGGTTTCAGAAAATGTGACTTTATGTCTTTCTGTAAAACATCTTTGCCCATGCCTTGTCAGATTTTCTGCGTCTTCTTTTTTTGTGTTTAAATGAGTTTGTTTTAGATAACATTGTTAGTTCTTACATTTTAAACAGATTTATTGAGAGATAATTCACACACTATACAATTTAACGTGTACAATTCTATGGTTTTTAGTATATTCGCAAATATATGCAACCATGACCACATTCAATTATAGAATATTTTTATTAATCTTATTTTTGCAATCTTTTATTGAATGGTGCTGCTCCTTGTGGAGCAGGGCTAATTCATAGGTTATGCACCCAGCGTCTATATAGAATATTTTTATCATTTATTTTCTTTTTTTCTTTGTTTTTTTTTTGAGACGAGTCTTGCTCTGTCGCCCAGGTTGGAGTGCAGTGGCGTGATCTGGGCCCACTTTAAGCTCCGCCTCCTGGGTTCACGCCATTCTCCTGCCTCAGCCTCCCAAGTAGCTGGGACTACAGGCCCCCACCATCACGCCCGGCTAATTTTTTTTTTTTTTTTTTGTATTTTTAGTAGAGATGGGGTTTCACTGTGTTAGCCAGGATGGTCTCGATCTCCTGACCTCGTGATCCACCCGCCTCGGCCTCCCAAAGTGCTGGGATTATAGGCATAAGCCACTGCGCCCAGTCCTCTTTCTTTTTTTCTGAGACAAGGTCTTGCTCTGTTGCTCAGGCTGGACTGCAGTGGCACAATCGTGGCTCACTGCAGCCTCAACCTCACAGGATCAAGTTATCGTGCTACCTCAGCCTACAGAGTAGCTGGGACTACACTTGTGTACCACCATGCCTGGATAATTTCTGCATTATTTTTTAGAGATGGGCTTCCACTATGTTATCTAGGCTGTACTCAAAATCCTGGACTCAAGCTCCGAAACTCCTGGGATTACAGGCGTGCACTACCACGCTGGCCTGTTTTTATCATCTCGAAAAGAAACCGCATACACTTAGGCTGTCACTCCCTTACCCTTCTACCCCCTAGTTATCAGCAACCACTAATCTACTGTTTGTCTACATAGATAATTTGCCTATTTGGACATTCTATATGCATGGAATCACATAATATGTGGTTTTATGTGACTGGCTTCTTTCACTTAGCATAATGTTTTGTTTTGTTTTTAATTTTTTGTTTGTAGAGACAGGGTCTCTCCCTCTGTTGCCCAGGCTGGTCTCAAACTCCTGGGTTCAAGTGATCCTACTACCTAGGCCTCCCAAAGTGCTGGGATTAAAGGCGCGAGCCACCCCATCTAGCCCACGCTTAGCATAATGTTTTAAAGCTTCATCTAGGTGAGAGCATGTATCAGTACTTCTTTTTTATAGCCAAATTATATTTCATTGTATGGATATACCACATTTTGTTTATCTATTCATCAGTTGATGCACATTTAGGTTGTTTCTACCTTTTGTCAAATATGAATAATGCTAATATAAACCTTTGTGTATGAGTTTTTGTACGGAGGGCCTTTGTTCTCAGTTGTAGTTTCAGACTGGGTTCTCTGCCTTTTATGTGATGTGTTTCTTCTTTGCTGCCTGTAGTATGTTTGCCTAATGGAAAGGTCACTGTTTTTTTCTTTTTTCTTTTTTTCCTTCTCAAAGTTATCATGGGCAGACCTAGAACATTTTCTTGGACTTTAGTGCAACTGAAATCTTTTTGATAGCTTTCTCATTCATTTGAGACCAATGTATCTTCCCTTCAGAGCTATAGTTTGAGTACTGGGTACAGTTCTGCGTAGAGTCACTTCTCTGTAGTCTGAGAAAACCATAGTGCGGGAGGGAAGGAGCTTAGACAGCACTAAGTTGAATTCTTGCTTGAGGACCTGGATTCTGATCGCTCAATAAAGATCCTCTTGGCTGGGCGCGGTGGCTCACCCCTGTAATCCCAACACTTTGGGAGGCCGAGGCAGGTGGATCTCTTGAGCTCAGGAGTTTGAGACCAGTCTGGGCAACATGGCAAAACCCCATCTCTACAAAAAATACAAAAAATTAGTGGGGCCGTGGTGATGTGCACCTGTAGTCCCAGCTACCTGGGGGGCTAAGGCAGGAGGATCACTTGAGCCCAGGAGGTCGAGGCTGCAGTGAGCCGAGATTGTGCTACTTTACTCCAGCCAGGGTGACAAAGTAAGACTCTGTCTTCCAATCATGGGTCTTTCCTACTTCCATGAGCTTCAGCTTATTGTGTTGACTAAGAGTGCCCTGGAAGATGGCAAGCTAGGAGGACTGCTTTTCTTCCTGGCTTATCCTGTCATAGCAGCCAAGTCTGTTAAGAGTCCTAGCTCAGTGCTGGAATCAAGCAAGAGCTCTGAAGCAGCCTCCGTAAGCTACTGTAAGCCTCCTTCTCTTCCAGGACAGAATCCAATTTCTTAAGCAATTGTGGAGGCATGGTTTATATCAACTTCTCATTTTCAAAATTATGAGGAAATTTCTTAGTGTTCATAGTTTGATGAACTTACATAACACTAAATAATACCTTGCTCTTCGAGTGGAACACTTAGTCTCAAGTGTGAGATTTGTCCAAAGCTGGCTGGGCGTGGTGACTTTTGCCTGTAATCCCAGCACTTTGGGAGGCCGAGGCAGGAGGATCACTTGAAGTCAAGAGGTCAAGACCAGCCTGGCCAACATGGCAAAACCCCATCTCTACTAAAAATATGAAAATTAGTTGGGCATGGTGGCAGGCGCCTGTAGTCCCAGCTACTTGAGAGGCTGAGACAGAAGAATTGCTTGAACCTGGAAGGCAGAGGTTGCGGTGAGCTGAGATGGCACCACTGTACTCCAGCCTGGGCAAGAGTGAGACTCCATCTCACAAAAAAGAAAAAAAAAAAAAGATTTCTCCAAAGCTATTATTTCCAGTCTTGAAGGTTCTGCAATTTTCTTGCATCATTCTCATCGTATTTTAAGGAAAAACATGGCTCATGCAGGTTTGAATCCCACTGCATCGCCCAAATGCCTGTACAGAATAAACACTCCACTTAGCTAAGTATTGACTACCTATTGTTCTTGCATGAAAGGCAATAAAACAATAGGGATCTGGATTTCAGTATGTTTTGGGTTCTGGGAATAATTGTAGTTTAGAAAAATTGTGATGTCTTGAATTCTCTAAATGTTTGTGCACGAGGCCAGTGCTCTTATAATCTTAACCTGTTGGCGCCTATATTTGTTCTCACACTGCTATAAAGAACTACATGAGGCAGGACATGGTGGCTCAGGCCTGTAATCCGAGCACTTTGGCAGGTCAAGGGAGATGCAGATCACTTGAGGTCAGGAGTTCGAGACCAGCCTGGCCAACATGGTAAAACCCTGTCTCTACTAAAAATAGAAAAGTTAGTTAGGCTTGGTGGCACACCCTGTAATCCCAGCTATTTGGGAGGCTGAGGCAGGACAACTGTTTGAACCCAGGAGGTGGAGGTTGCAGTGAGCCGAGATTGTGCCACCGCACTCCGGCCTGGGAAACAGAGTGAGACCCTGTCTCAAAAAAAAAAAAAAAAAAAAAAAAAAAAAGGAACTACCCGAGACTAGGTAATTTATGAAGAAAAGAGGTTTAATTGACTCACAGTTTAATTGACTCACAGTCCACAGGCTGTACAGGAAGCATGAGTGGAAGGCCTCAGGAAACTCACAATCCTGGTGGAAGGTGAAAGGGAAGCAAGCACGTCTTACCATGGTGGAGCAGGAGAGAGAAAGAGCAAGGGGGAACAGACACACACTTTTAAACCATCAGATCTCGTGAGAACTCAGTCATTGTCATGAGAACAGCATAAGGGAAACCGCCCCTGTGATCCAATTACTTCCCACCAGGTCCCTCCCCTGACACGTGGGGATTACAATTCAACATGAGATTTGGATGGGGACACAGAACCAAACCTTACCAGCCCCTGAAGATGGAGCCAACTGATTATCAGAGGGAGAGCCAGAGGCATTTTCCTAAACATGAACATGCCTAGATAGGATAGAGTTCTCCCAGCCTGTTTTGGTTTCCCAGGGAAAAAATCTTGGCTACTCCTCACACTTGGACATAATAGGAGGGCTTTCCTTGGCTCAAAATAAGAAAAGTAGACCAGTCACAGTGGTTCACGTCTGTAATCCCAGCACTTTGGGAGGCTGAGGTGGGTGGATCACCTGAGGTCAGGAGTTCAAGACCAGCCTGGCCAACATGGCAAAACACTGTCTCTACTAAAAATACAAAAATTAGCCAGGCATGGTGGCGAGCACCTGTAATCCCAGCTACTCAGGAGGCTGAGGCAGGAGAATCACTCTAACTCAGGAGGCAGAGGTTGCAGTGAGCCGAGATCATGCTACTGCACTCCAGCCTGGGTGACGGAGCAAGACTCCATCTCAAAAAAAAAAAAAAAAAAAGAAAAGAAAAAGAAAAAGAAAAGTGGATCTTAGAGACCAGGAGATCTGTGACTTTGTCCAATGTCTCTGACTTCAGCAAGGGCAAAACTGGACCAAGAAGCCCTGTACTATTCCAGGCATGCCACACTTCCATAATGCCCAGGCCTGACCTGCATACCACGGGGGTGATTCTGAGCCTGTGAGAAGGTGAGTCAGGGAGTCAAATTATGCGAAGAAGTAGCTGGGTGTGGTGGCATGCACCTGTAGCCCCAGCTACTCAGGAGGCAGAGGTGGGAGGATCTCTTGAGCCCAGAAGTTTGGGGCCAGCCTGGGCAACATAGCAAAGGCCCATCTCTAAAAACTTAAAATAAAAATATAGGCCTCAAGAAAAAGAAAAGTGGATCTTAGAGACCAGGAGATCTATGACTTTGTCCAATGTCTCTGACTTCAGCAAGGGCAAAACTGGACCAAGTAGCCCTGTACTATTCCAGGCATGCCATACTTCCATAATGCCCAGGCCTGACCTGCATACCCCGGGGGTGGCTCATGCCTGTAATTCCAGCACTTTAGGAGGCCGAGGTAGGAGGATCGCTTAAGCCCAGGGGTTTGAGACCAACCTGGGCAACATGGAAAAAATAAAAAATAAAATAAAATAAACACAAGTAATTCACCATTTGTTTATGATATCAAGGAAAATCTACTGGTATCTTCTACTTTATAGACTGCCAAGAATGTCAACATTGTGCCGTGGGATGAGAAAATGAGAAAAAAATTAATTAAAATAGACTGCCAAGAATGGATATTTTGAAAGCATTTTGTGCTTTCTTATTTTGTCACTAATCCAGGGATGCATTGTAACGGAAAGAATATATACAAAATCTTATTGCAAACTTCTTGGTTGTGCCACAGGCTCTGCCTCAGTGTTCACAGTCTGCCGTGTGCAGTGTGTGAGAATGACTTCTTAGAGGGGTTTAAGATATCCATCCTGTTGTTGAAGCTCACAAGGAAGGCTGATCCCAGAGACAAATACAGCATGGCAGGGAAAGCAGAACTATCCCATCATGTGGCTGGCTGAAACTTGAGCTGACATTCAGCATTTTACAGACATTAGACAAAAACAAATACTCTTTGAAATATGGATGTAAGCAAAAATTAAGAATTCTTGACCATGAATAGGAACAAATAGTTTGAGGCAAGAAGTAAACAATGCAGGCCAGGCGCGTGGCTCACGCTTGTAATCCCAGCTTGAGAGGCCAAGGTGGGCGGATCACCTGAGGTCAGGAGTTTGAAACCAGCCTGGCCAACATGGCGAAACCCTGTCTCTACTAAAAATACAAAAATTAGCCTGGTGTGGTGGCATGTACCTGTAATCTCAGCTACTTGGGAGGCCGAGGCAGGAGAATTGCTTGAACCTGGGAGGCGGAGGTTGCAGTGAGTGGAGATCATGCTACTGCACTCCAGCTTGGGAGACAGAGCAAGACTCCGTCTCAAAAAAGAAAAAAATAGTAAACATTGCAGAGCATGGGCCAGGCCCGGTGGCTTATGCCTGTAATCTCAGCACTTTGGGAGGCTGAGGTGGGCCAATCATTTGAGCCTCGGAGTTCAAGACCAGCCTGGGTAACATGGTAAAACTCCATCTCTACAAAAAATACAAAAAAATTAGCTGGGTGTGGTGGCACACAGCCATAGTCCCAGCTACTCGGGAGGCTGAGGCAGGAGGATCACTTGAGCTTGGGAAGTCAAGGCTGCATTAAGCTGTGATTGCACCACTGCACTCCAGCCTGGGTGACAGAGTGAGAACCTGTCTCAAAAAAAACAAAAACAAAAGCATTGTAGGGCAAACTTCACCATGTGAGACAATGTGGGCTCATCAAGGGGTATCTGCAGGCATCCTTGGATGGAGGAAACCCGAGAGGGAAAGACTATACTCTTGATTGCAGTAGTTACGGATTTTCACCAGCTTACCCATAAGGAGAAACTGGAGCCCAAGAACAAACTCTTCTACACAGAATCTATAATTTATTGTCTGTGAGAATTCAGAGTAAACTGCTTGTATTAATAGTTCTCATTCCAGGCTATGGGCTTCTCAGGCACCAAGTCCCAAATAAAACCTCAAAGTTTTGCCATTGGAGGTTTTAGAGCCAGATAAATCTTACTGAACAATTCAGTCAAAAGTCTAGTACATACATTAGTTAAAATGGGTGAGTGACTGGGTGCAGTGGAACACACCTATAATCCTAGTACTTTGGGAAGCCAAGGTGGGCAGGTTGTCTGGGTTTAGGAATTTGAGAACAGCCTGGGAAACATGGCAAAACTCTGTCTCTACAAAAAATACAAAAATTAGCCAGGCATGGTGGCACATGCCTGTAGTCCCAGCTACTCAGAAGGCTGAAGTGGGAGGATTGCTTGAACCCAAGAGGTTGAGGCTGCAATGATCTGAGATGGCACCACTGCAATCCAACCTGGGTGATGGAGTGAGAACTTGTCTGATTAAAACAAACAAACAAACAAACAAACAAAAAAACAAGGTAACAAGACTTCACCTGAGTGTACCGTGCAGTACATGCATGTTCTAACACACACGTGAAGTGGCACCCTACCTGTACAATGCACTCATCTGCATTTGCACCCACATGCCTGCCATCAGCGTCATGGTCCTCACTGTGCCCCTTTCGTATCTACGTGCCCATCAGCATGCACATTTGCAGGGTCAGCAACTTCAGTCAACCATGATCCCTGTACCCTGGTCCTTAGCATGTCCTTTTCTTGGTTCCTGATTTTCGTTTTCTTTTCAGAGAAATGCAAGATGCTGAGTTGAAAGCATTTCCCCATAGTAGCTGCATTCTTCCTATTTGCTCAGCTCTGAGTCATTTCAGGAGTCATCTTTGACTTTCATCTGTCTCTAAAGCCTTACATATAAGTCATCAGAAAATCTGCCTTTGAGATATATCTCCAGATTCTGTGAATTTCCAGGTACTTCCACCACAACTGTGGTCCACGCTACCATCATCTCTCAGCTGGGTTACTGCAAAGCCTCCTGTCTCCCTGCTCCCACACTTGGCCAAATCTAGTTTAGTTTGTAGCCAGCCAGTGTGTTCCTTTTATAACTCAAATTGGATCATGTCACTTCTCTGCTAAGAACCCTTTAATTGATCCTCGTGCTACTTGGGAAAAATCCAAAATCTCTACCATATCTTCATGACCTGGCTCCATGCTGCCTCTCAAATCGCCTACCCCTCTCACCCTCACTTGAGCCACACTGGATGCTTTGCTGTTCCTCAAACACACCAGACACACTTACTTCAGGGTCTTTGTGTTTTTAATTCCTCTGCCTGGACCATTTTCTCCCAGATACACACAGACATCACTTCCTCACTTCCTTCAGGTTTCTGCTCAAATTCATTGTATCAGGAACCCCTCCTCTAAAAACTCTTTCTTGGATAACACACATTCATATTCTTCCTAGCCATTCTGTGCCTCCTTACTCTGATTGGCTTTTCTTCAGAGCACTTATCACTGCCTGAAATATTATTTGTTTATTGTCTGTCTTCCTGCACTAGAGTGTAAGCTCCCTGAGACCAGGGAGTTTGTTCTGTTCATGGCTTACCTCAGCTTCTAGAACAGTGCCTGATATGGGGTAAGCCCTTAAGAAACAGGTGTGGGGCTGGGCAGGGTGGCTCATGCCTGTAATCCCAGCACTTTGGGAGGCTGAGGCAGGAGGATGTCTTGATCCCGGGAGTTCAAGACCAGCTGAGGTAACACAGAGGACCCTGTCTCTAATTTTTTAATGAAAAAAAAACAACAAAAAGAAATAGGTGTGGAATGAATGAGCGGACTTATCACAGGAAGGTGTCTGCTCACTCTTGCCTAAGCACCTCTGGGAAAGGAGCTTTGATAGGCGCTTCCTCCAGACCCTCTGAGAAGATGCAGTGGAGGAAGTCCCTGCTCCCATGCAGTGCTATCTCCCATTGTTTGGGTCCTTACTACATCTGGTGGCTGCCCCAGGAAAGCAGGGTTGAGCTGTGGGAAAGAGGACGCTGTGTGATGTTGTTTTGAGAGATGATGCTGAGGTGTTTTGAGTGGATGACCCTGTGAAATGCTATTTTGAGGTGCTGGTATTGTTTTGAGGGATGACGCTGTGAGGATGCTGTTTTGAGGAATGTGGGCTCTGTGAAATGAAGTCACCCAAACCAGTCTGACAGGAGTGATGTCAAGCTTCTGGCCAGTTTAGTAAAAATGTTTAGTCATGAAACCAGCAGCTACAAGTAAGCAGGCCTCACTTTCAGAGTCCTCCAGTCATTTGACAAACATAGATTGAATATGTGCTATGTGTCAAATACCATTTGAGGCCCTAAAGGGACTGTACTAGAAGCTGAAGGTTGTGGGGATATGGACCACAAGGGCCCTGTATTAGTCTGTTCCCATACTGCTATGAAGAATACCTGAGACTGGGTGATTTATAAAGATAAGAGGTTTAATTAACTCCCAGTTCTGATGGCTGGGAAGGCCTCAGGAAACTTACAATCATAGCAGAAGGTGAAGGGGAGAAAGGTACCTTCTTCACAGGGCAGCAGGAAAAAGGAGTGCTATGCATAGGGGGAAAAGCCCCTTATAAAACCATCAGATCTCATGAGAGCTCATTCACTATCATGAGAACAGCATGGGGGAATCGCCCCATTATACAATCACCTCCCACTTGGTCCCTCCTATGACATGTCGGGGCTACAGGAACTACAATTCAAGATGGGATTTAGGTGGGGTTACATCCAAACCATATAATTCCACCTCTGGTCCCTCCTAAATCTCATGTCCTCAGATTTCAAAACACACTTATGACTTTCCAACAGTCCCCCAAAGTCTTAGCTCATTCCAGCATTAACCCAAAAGTCTAAGTCCAAAGTCTTATCTGAGGCAAGGCAAGTCCCTTCCACCTGTGAGCCTGTAAAATCAAAAGTAAGTTAATTACTTCCTAGATACAATGGAGGTATAGGCATTGGGTTAATACCCCCATTTCAAAAGGGAGAAATTGGCCAAAACAAAGGGGCTACAGGCCCCATGAAAGTCCAAAATCCAATAGGGCAGTCGTTAAACCTTAAAGTTCCAAAATGATCTCCTTTGAGTCCATGTCTCACATCCAGGTCATGCTGATGCAAGGGGTGAGCTCCCACAGCCTTGGATAGCTCTGCCTCTGTGGCTTTGCAGGGTACACGGTCCCTTCTAGCTCCTTTCATGTGCTCGCATTGAGTGCCTGCAGCTTTTCCAGGTGTATAGTGCAAGCTGTCAGTGAATCTACCATTCTGGGGTCTGGAGGTCGGTGGCCCTCTTCTCATAACTCCATTAGGCAGTGCCCCAGTGGGGACTCTGCGTGAGGGCTCTAACCCTGCATTTCCCTTCTGTACTGCCCTACCAGAGGTTCTCTATGAGGGCTCTACCCCTGCAGCAAACTTCTGCCTGGACATCCAGGTGTTTCCATGCATCCTCTGAAATCTAGGCAGAGGTTCCCAAACCTCAATTCTTGTCTTCTGCACACCCACAGGCCCAATACCATGTGGCAGCTCCCAAGGGGAGATAAGAATTTTCTTATCTGACTATTATTTATTTAATTTACTTAATTTCTTAATTAAGTAAATTAAGTAAAATCTTACCAAATGAAATACAATTGCCTTCTATCCCCTCCTGTTACCTCATTATCTGTTTCAGAAAAGATGAATAAAGAACACTACCGCACCTGGATGGACTTTTTTGCAAGGTATTGCTTGCCTCTCAGGCTTATTCAAATTCCAGAAGTGATTCATTTACAAGTTAATTTCTATTTCCCTGATCCATTCATTCTCCCTAATAATCATTTACTGCCCCTCAAAAGAATTGTCTACATTCTCCATCTCCTCCTTCCACTATGAAAAAGAGTATATACATTTCTGGGCTGAGTGTGGTGGCTCATGCCTGTATTCCCAGCACTTTGGGAGGTCAAGGCGGGCAGATCTCTTGAGCTCAGGACATCAAGACAAGCCTGGGCAACACGGTGAAACCCCATCATTTAAATTGTTTTAATTGTTAAAAATACAAAAATTAGCTGGGTGGTGGAGTGTACCTGTAGTCTCAGTTACTTGGGAGACTGAAGTAGGAGGATGGCTTAAGCCCAGGAGGCAGAGTTTGCAGTGAGCTGAGATCGCATCACTGCATTCTAACCTAGATGACAGAACCAGATCCTGCCTCAAAAAAAAAAAAAGTTTCTCTACCCTATTAAGGGGTGAAGTAATCACTTTGTGGTTCTCTCCTGCACACGTTAGTATACTTGTATGCCTTTTCTCCTATTAATCTGCCTTTTGTCAGTTGATTTTTCAACAAATGTTCAGAGAGTGAAGAAGTTTTTCCTTGGCCTCTATAGTTTTGGTGCTGTGAACAGGATACCAAAACTCTGCTCTTCTGGAAGCTGCAGTCAAGGGAAACCAGGACCTGACAAGTCAGCAGAAGGGTAAAAAATTCTTATGAGACAAAATCCCAGTCTCTTTCTCTCTGGAATCCAGTTGAGTGGACAGTAAAAAATCACTGTTGTTTTTTTCTTAACAAAATCTTGATTAATGGGTGAAAAGGATTTGTTCGACCGGTCTTGGGTGTAATGACCCTGATGTGCTTTTCTGGTATGAATATTCATACTGTCTGATCTTTTTCCTCCCAGAAATAGTTTTTCCCTTTATCTTTGGGGCTGGTATAGGAGAGTTCGATAAAGGCGGGTGGTTGGCTTGCATGTGAGAGGAGGTGTCTGAGTCAGTTATTTCCCATCTTTAAGAATTAGCCAACCCGGAGAAGGGCACTTTCCATGCGTCTGGAAAGCTTCCAAATGCCAGAGCATCAAGATACAGAAAATAGGAAAACATAGTTAATACAGTGACCTCGTCTCAGGACAAGTTGTGAGTTCCTGTGTGTCCTCTCGTGCTTTTGCTCTGTGAGGAACATATCGGGGGGGTTAGCTTGTTGGTCTCAGAATGAGAGACCGTGGAGCAGAGCTGCCCCAGTTAACTGAAAACCTGCAATGTAAAGCGGTCAAGGCAAGGGCAGAGCTGCTGAACTCCAACTACCTCTGGGCGTGCAAGTGTGATTGTTGTTTCAAGGTACTGAGTTTGAGATGACTTGTTATACAGCATTATTGTGGCAATAGATTACTGATACAATGATTGTGGGTTATCAGATTACACCTTCTAACTGTTTGGACTTTTTTTTTGAGACAGGGACAAGTTTTTCTTATATAGGGGTCCTGTCTATGCAAAAACTAAACTCAGCTATGCCTATGTGCTGGTGAGCAGAGAGCGTGACATTTATTATTCTATTCATTTAAAGAAAACTATTCTTGACATTTTAGTATGTGAGTACATCAAAACAAAACTATTATTATCTTGAAAGCATATATTGTTATGGGAATTGGGACTTCTGAACTTTCTGCTATTGTAGGAGTATGTCCTTGTAGGTTTTCCTCAACTATAAACATCTTAGGATGACGAGTTGTGGCTGGCAAGGAATGTGCCTTTCAAGTTTCAAGATGGAGTTTGAACTTAAAATGATGGTTACTGTGGCTCTCCCAGGCTCCTGCTTCCCTAACAACTGGGTCATGTGTCTCTCACTGTTCAGCTCAGTCATCCGGCTCATTCTCATGGTTGATAACAGAGTTCCAGGTGCAGCGAGAGGGTAAGCTCCTATGTGCAAGTGCTTTTCAAGTCTCTGCTTGTTTCAAATGTGCTATTGCCACATGAATTGACGTAAGACCAAACCCTGGGCTAGTATGGGATGGGACAGTGGAACGAGAGCTTGAGAGCCAAATGTTAAATTTCCAGGAATTTTGCAAGCCAGTTGTTAAGCTGCTGGTAGCTTGAAATTAGCCATGCTGGGAGTAATTATATAACAGAAATTGGCAAATGCTATAAACCAGGACTTTTTTTTTCTTTTCTTTTCTTTTTTTTTTTTTTTTCCAGAAAACCAGTTTAAACATCTCACGCCTGTAATCCTAGCACTTTGGGAGGCTGAGGTGGGGGATCACTTGAGGTCAGGAGTTTGAGACCAGCCTAGCCAACATGGTGAAACCCCATCTCCACTAAAAATACAAAAAGTAGCTGGGTGTGGTGGTGTGCACCTGTAAGCCCAGCTACTCAGGAGGCTGAGGCACGAGAATTGTTTAAACCTGGGAGGAGGAGGTTGCAGAGCCGAGATCACACCACTGCACTCCAGCCTGGGTGACAGAGCAAGACTCTGTCTCAAAAAAAAAAAAAAAAATTGCAAGAAGTTCTAATTTAACATCTTCGATGGGCTCTTGGAAACTGGGACTTTAAGTGAATTGTTGTACAGTGAGTCCCAGAATAATGTAGTTTCCTTCAATGCCTTTTTGTTATAATATTGATGAGAAAAGAAGATTGGTTTCATTATACTTTTTTAAAAAAATTAGCCATTCCTGCATTGCTATAATCATACTTTTTGCTTAAAGTCACAGTTTCCAAGAACTTATTAACAACTTTAAGTGAGGACTCACTGTATATAAAAATAGAGTCATGTATACATTGAGCAGTCGAGGGACACATTGTAGTGGTCATTTACTTTTTTAAGCATCATTTAGCCTTTTTCAGTAACAGACCCTGCTTGAATCAAGCTAAGCCACCCTCATGACATAAGGATTTATCCAAAAGACAAGCACATAAACCAAGTTAATTCAAGTGGAATAATTCCACAGGATTTTTTTCAAACTGAAGTTGGGAGAGGAAAGCCCCTCTTCTCTGTCTTACAAACTGTAATGATCTGAGCCAAGAGCTCCCAGTAGTCATCATTATACTTTTGTGGGAGAGAGCCAGCCTAAGAGAGGAACGCTAACATACACAAATTTGCATAAAAGAGAGACCAAAAGAGAAAGCTAGTTGCGGACTGGGAGAGAAAGAGAGAGGGAGAGAGGAAGGAAAAGAAGGGTTTACCCCAACCTCCTTGCTGTTTGGTTGTGATCCAATACAATATCTATCTGGCTGTCTGTGTCAGGCCAGTTTTTGCATCTCTATAAAGAAATGCTTGAATCTGAGGAATTTATAAAGAAAAGAGGTTTAATTGGCTCATGTTCTTCAGGCTGTACAGGAAGTGTGGTGCTGGCATCTGCTTCTGGCAAGGGCCCCAAGAAGCTTACAGTCATGGCAGAAGGTGGAGAGGAAACAGGCATGTCATATGGCGAAAGGGAGCAAGAGAGAGTGAGGACGAGGAGCCAGACTCCTTTAAACAACCAGCTCTCAAGTGAGCTAACAGACTCACTCATAATAAGAACTCACTCATTACCATGGGGAAGGCAGCAAACCGTTGGTGAAAGATTCACCCCCATGATCCAATGGGCCTTCCACTATACCCCACCTCCAAGATTGGAGGTCACATTTCAACATGAGATTTGGAGGGGACAAACATCCAAACCATATTACTGTTTATCTATCTATCTGTCTTAAAATAGATTGAGTTAACAGTTTCTGTTACTTGCAACCAAACAGTCCTGACTAACACACAAACATAGATATCTTGCTAAAGAGGTGGAGAAGGAACCAGTACAAGGAAAGATGAACATTGCTATACAGAGACCAGGATCTGGTTCGGGCATAGTACTCATCCATGGGGGGAAAATTAAACAAAGGAGGCTGTTAGCAACATCCTATGAAGATTTCCTCTGAGATTCATAAGTCTCCCCTCTTTCCCCCATTCCTTGTGTAAGTTCAAGGTATGGTTACATACAATGGAGACAACTCCAGACAAGTTAAGTAGAAATAGGCTGGTGTGGTGGCTCACGCCTGTAATCCCAGCACTTTGGGAGGCCGAGATGGGAGGATGGCTTGAGGTCAGGAGTTCGAGACCAGCCTGGCCAACATAGTGAAACCCTGTCTCTACTAAAAATACAAAAATTAGCTGGGTATGGTGGTGCATGCCTGTAGTCCCAGCTACTCGGAAGGCTGA
The DNA here is from genome assembly GCF_000001405.40 of Homo sapiens. NCBI lineage: Eukaryota > Metazoa > Chordata > Mammalia > Primates > Hominidae > Homo > Homo sapiens. Next base: position 20,372,671 of record NC_000002.12, read on the forward strand.
GGGAGGAGAATCACCTGAACCCAGGAGGCAGAGGTTGCAGTGAGCCAAGACTGTGCCACTGCACTTCAGCCTGGGCGACAGAGTGAAACTTCGTCTCAAAAAAAAAAAAAAAAATTAAGTAGAAATAGACTTCATACAGAAAGTTAGGTGATTACAAAATTGTTGCAAGGGCTAGGTGAACAGACTTAAGGCTGAGCTTCCAGGAATGGCTCCCCTGTAACAACTCCACAGAACTGGCCTGCCAAGAAAGTCATTATCCCAGCTGCTGGCTTGAGGATATACCACCTCAACTGCAATTCCTACGAAAAAATGTCATACCCAATACTCTATCTCTTTGCATTCACAAAACTAGGGGCAGTCACTGAAATTTCTGTTCTGTAGCCACAGAAAAGGCACATGCCTCCTTTACTATGCTTGCTAGGAGAAATGCCAGCAGCCACAGAAAGATGCACTTACTTCTCAATCTCATTTTTTTCAAAGGAACAACCGTTAACACTTTCTTCTGTATCCTTCCAGAAAATTTCCAAGTGTGCATGTGCATAAAACAAATGAGATGGGCCAGGCAGTGGCGTATACCTATAATCCCAGCAACTGGGGAGGCTGAAGTGGGAGGATCACTTGAGCCCAGAAGTTAGAAACCAGCTTGGGTTGCATAGGGAGACTCCATCTCTACAAAAACAAAACAAAACAAAACAAAACAAAACAAAAATTATCCAGGAGTGGTGGCACACACCTCCCAGCTACTTGAGAAGCTGAGTGGGAGAATCACTGACCTGTGATCCTGCCACTGCACTTCAGCCTGAGTGACTGAGCAAGACCCTGTCTCACAAACAAACAAATGGAATCACACCAAATATTAGTCTGACTGATTTAAAGGACTTATACTTGGATGCCTTTTTTAAAGTGAAGAATCAAATAATATAACTGTGTTTCTTAGGCAGATCACCCAAATCTCTAATTTTTTTTGTTTTGTTTTGTTTTGTTTTTTGTTTTTGTTTTTTCTGTTTTGTTTTTGAGATGGAGTCTCACTCTGTCGCCCAGGCTGGAGTGCAGTGGCACGATCTCGGCTTACTGCAAACTCCGACTCCCTGGTTCAAGTGATTCTCCTGCCTCAGCCTCTCAAGTAGCTGGGATTACAGGCACACACCACCACACCCAGCTAATTTTTGTATTTTTAGTAGAGACGGGGTTTCACCGTGTTGGTCAGGATGGTCTCCATCTTCTGACTTTGTCATCCGCCTGCCTCCAAATCCCCAATTTTAATGTGCAACCCCGATACTCAGAAATAAATGTAAAATATATAGGAATAATATTAAGAATTAAATAATGGGGCTGTGTGTGGTGGCTCGCCCCTATAATACCAGTTACTTTGGGAGGCCAAGGCAGGAGGATCACTTGAGCCCAGGAGTTAGAGATCAGCCTGGGGAACATAGTGGGACCCCATCTCTATTTAAATTATGAAAAATTAAATTAAAAGATTAAATATTGGAAGAATCACACAACTCTGAAAATCACTTCAAAATGAAGTGTTTTCTAGAAAGTAAAGTTTGGATTTGTGTATACACATTGTTTTCATTCAAAAACAAAATGTTCCTATTATATATAGGTGAAATGTATATTTATTAATTTTTAAAAAAGCAAAATTTTACAGTTTTGTCTAAATGTCATTACAAAACTTCTAGAGCAGTCCACTGCAGTGGCTTACACCTGTAATCCCAGCACTTTGGGAGGCTGAGATGGGCAGAACACTTGAGGCCAGGAGTTCAAGACCAGCCTGGGCAACACGGTGAAACCCCGTCTCTACTAAAATTACAAAAAAAAAAAAAAAGAAAAAATTAGGCAGGTGTGGTGGTCTACTCTTGTAATCCCAGCTACTAGGGAGGCTAAGGCACGAGAATCTCTTGAACCTGGGAAGCAGAGCTTGCAGTGAGCCGAGATCATGCCACTACATTCCAGCCTGGGTGACAAATTGAGGCTCTGTCTCGAAAAAACAAAAACAAAACAAATACCTCCTAGAGCAGAGCAAATGCTCTTTTAGAAACACCATGTAAAGAGCAAAAGTAAAAACAACAACAACAAAAAAGCCTCAGAAACTAGAAACTAAAAAAACCTAAAAAAAAATAAAGAAAAAAAAATTTTGAATTGATGAGTAAATGGCATCCATAGGCCTGATTTCACATAAGGGATAATCAGATCAATATATCACCCAGTCAATGCCACAGAATCAGACCGTATAGTTCAGAGATCTAAGATGAATAAAAGTCTAGATGGTGAGACAAGAACCGGATGAAAAGACAGTCATTTGGCAGCGAGGAGCAAGCGACGGGCCTCATCCTCACTCTCGCCCGGCTTGTCCTGGGCCCTCCTGCGGCCCTAGGAATTGCCTGAGGGACAAACAAAGTGGACAAAGTCGCTGACAGACCTGAGTTACTGCCTTGGTCCTGGTGACCCTGCTCCAGGCAGTCCATCTCTGTCTGCGATCCATTGATCCTGGCGCCACTCCTGGTGCTTCATTATCGCCCAGAGGGGCCTCTGGAGTGCAAGCCACAAACAGGGAGACAAACCCAGGGAAGACTCCATACGGTTCCACAGCAACCAGCCAGTTCTAAAGTCAGCGTCCCTGGCTTCCAGCTCCAACACTGGACATTCCCCCGTGGCTCCCCTGCCTGGGAATCTGGTGGAGGCTGATTGGGCAGCCCAGGGGATGCCGGTGGGGTGCGGGGAGGAAAGGCTGCAAGGGCAGCTTGGCTGGATCATGGAGGCCCGGGTGAGGCATTCGGACTTACTCTAAGGGCAAGAGAGCGAGAGACTGCAGCTTGGAGAGGACAGCGGTGCTTTGGAAGATGAATCTGGCTCATTGTGCTAAGAAAAGGAGGGAGGAGAGTAGCTTTCTAGGTGACCTGGGGCAGTGGCAATAGGTATGAGGGACGTGAGGGGTCTGAGACAAGCAGGGAGGGTGCATTGCCCAGCCTTCCTGGTTGTGGGTGAGGAGCTGTCGGTGAGGACTTTAAGCGTTTAAGCCCCACGATCAGGTGTTGTGGATAGGAGTTTGGATAATAATTCTGAAAAACAGAGCCCCACACACCTTAATCCCAAATGTTGAAATCCCAAGAGATCACAATCCCAAAAATATAATTCTGGAAAAAATAATTTTGGAAATTATTTTAAAGACATTTACTTACATTTTAAAAGGGGATTTATTTGAGAAACATATAAAAACACAATAACACTTCATAGGCGACTTGACACAATATGAGAGGCAATAGCATACATCATTTTGCAACCATAAAGACTCAGGTAGAATAAAGACAGTCATAGGAGTATAACAGTCAAGAGCAGAGGAAACATATTCATAAACAAATAGGTCCAAAAGGGAAATATATAAACACATGTCACTATGGTTGGTAATTGTGTGTACCCAGCTTTATTTAATTTTTCAAAATACTTAAATACAAAACACTCTCCTGTCCAATGCACCCAGCTCTATAACTGTGGTCATCTGAAATACTGTGATGGACAACCTAAGTCTTTTGATGAGATCAACCAAAGATAAAAAACCGCAGTGAGTTACCCCTGTGTGCTCAAAAAATTTTATCTTTCACAAATGCCAGTGAACAAAAACGGACATCTCTTCATTTACTGAGGAAGTTTCAACGTTTTTACATACATGCGCATTGCTTACACACAAAGGCAACATTGAGGTAATGTAATTTTGTGGAAGCAAATTTGGGTAAAATATAAAAGTCTTTATAAAATTTATACCTCCCCTATTGGAAATGATGCGACGATGACATCCATTGCATAGCTGAGCATGGTGGCACACACCCATAGTCCCAGCAACTCGGTAGGCTGAGGCAGAATTGCTTAAGCCCAAGAGTTTGAGGTTGTACTGTGCTATGATCATGCCTGTGCGTAGTCAATGCACTTCAGCCTGGGCAACATAGAGAGACCCATCTCTTAAAAAAAAAAAGAAATCCATAGCATAGTGAGTTGTTGAAAGTAATGCTGACAATTTAAAATAGTGGGAAAAACTAAAAAAATAAAAACAGAAAAATTGACATATGAAAAAGTGTATTACAGGGATAGATTGTGGGTAATTGCACATAGGTAGACCGTAAGAGCTAACCAACTTTGATGATCATTATTACATTTTGAAGTCCTGCATTGAGATGAATAGTTGCTTTTTTTCTTTTAGGGCATGGCTCTTCTTAGCAAATATGTTCACATTCATTTTCAATGTGGTGTTGCTCTTTTTGAAATTCTTGGCCAGGCACAGTGGCTCACACCTGTAATCCCAGCACTTTGGGAGGCTGAGACGTCCCAAATATGGTGAAACCCCATCTCTACCACCACCATCACCAACAAAAAGTTAGGTGGGCATAGTGGTGCGTGCTTGTAGTCCCAGCTACGTGGGAGGCTTAGGTGGGAGGCTGGCTTGAGCCTGGGAGGCAGAGGTAGCGGTGAGCCAAGATATCAGGCCACTCCACTCCAGCCTGAGTGATAAAGCCAGACTTCGTCTCAGAAAAAAAAAAGAAAGAAAGAAAAGAAATTCTTCCATGATTCAGTATTCCCTGTTACATTTTCCCATCTTTTTTTTTTTTTTTTTTTTTTGAGACGGAGTTTTCTCTGTCGCCCAAGCTGGAGTGCAGTGGCGTGATCTCAGCTCACTGCAAGTTCCCCCTCTGAGGTTCAAGTGATTCTCATGCCTCAGCCTCCCGAGTAGCTGGGATTACAGGCATGTGCCACCACACCTGACTAATTTTTGTATTTTTAGTAAAGAAGGCGTTTCACCATGTTGGCCAGGCTGGTCTCAAACACCTGACCTCAGGTGATCCACCCATCTTGGCCTCCCAAAGTACCCAAAAGTGTGAGCCACCGCAACCGGCCTACATTTTCCCATCTGCTGTGCCATGTTTCTATGTTGTTTTGGGGACTCAGAAATCCATTTCACATGCCCTCATATACAGATCATGAATTTGGTGGAAGCAATACTGGCGATAGGACAGCAACACCATGTCTTCTTATTCTACCATGAACATAATTATTTTCAAACCAGTCAATAACTTTGCTGGCTTCTTCAGGCAAATGAAGCTTTATATTTATTAAAAGCTCCTGGAATTTCATCAGCCAGATGGAATATTCACCAATGCAGAAAATGACGCATTTTTAAACTGTAATTTTTGTTGTCGTTCAGATAAGTGGCCAATCCACTCATCTGAATTTTCCACCAAATGCAAATAAAAACAATAATGAAGTAATAGTTCTGCTTAATGTGGTGCAACTGACATGATACAACTGTCCTGCCTACAACTGAAAATGTTCGAATTCCTTTCTCAGAATTCAGCTTTCAGGATTTTAGTCTTTTGGGGTTGTGATATTTAGGATTTTAGATGGTAGGGATTTTAGATCTTTCAGGATTTCACCATTTGCGATTATGGTGTTTGGGATTTTTTCTTTTGGGATTCTGATTGGCGCCATGCAGAATGCACTCCTGGGAAAAAAGTCTCAGACAGACATCCAAAGGTTGATTCGGCTGTTCTTTTGGGCTCAATGCCTACGGAAGGGAAGGGGAGGAAGCAGGATTGGGCAGATGGAGAAAGTGAGCTGCAGTACAGCTTCAACAGAGAGCCCTCTGACCCTCCCGGGAGCTGCAAAACTGGGACCACCCTGCAGAGTTGTGCCAGCCGGGGCAACGGGTCTGGGTCTTTGTGTTCTCACATTGATGGGTCACAGGATGTGGACCTTTCTGGGAAAGGAATGAGCTTGGGTGAGGGGCTCTCTGCAGTTGAGGAAACCCCTGGTTTTCTGCCGGCAGTGCTTCTAGCAGTTGGGAGAATAAACCCCTCATTCCTGAGGGGAGCCTTGGTGGCCCCTCGCAGTGTTTACCATGTTAAGTAAACATGGTAGGGTTGCTGAAGATTAGAGACGCCACAAAGAGGAGTGGGTTTGGGGAAGGCGATGAGCTCCATTTTGCACATAGTGAGTGTGAGGTGTTTCAGGGGCGTGCACGAGGGGTGTTCAGTGGATAACTTGGTGTACAGGTCTGAAGCTCTGGAGGGAGGTCAAGAATAGAACTACAGATTTAGCAAAAATATAAGGATTGGGTGGAAATCAGAGGAATGGATGGGACAGTTGGAGTCAGAAGGAGATGACACCTAAGTTGACCCATCTGGCAGCGGGTCCTCGGTGCAATCTCACAGGAGGAGGCAGCCGGATAAGATCAGCAAAGAACAGTGGCTCAGGAATTCCCAACTCCGTCAGAGCTATTGGTGATGAATGAGAGCCCTGGCCACACTCGCCCTCACAGAGCTCTCAGGGACCAATGTACAAATCAGGTGAAATATGCACTGCCCAGTGGGAAGCTGAATTGCCCGGGAATGAGACTGCTTCTCCCTACTTCTCGCCTGTCCATGTCCTTCTGTTTCCCCTTTGCCTTGACGCCCTCTCTCTCTCTCTCTCTCTGTCTTTCTCCTCTTTCTCCTCTTTCTCTCTGTCCAGTTCTTCTCTCTCCCTCTGTCCCTCTGGGCCCACTAGAGGGCGGCAGCCCCCAGTCCAGGCCTGGGCGTCCACCCTCCCAGCCTTTGCCTGGGCCTGGTGCTCCCGTAGGGAGCGGTGCCAAGATTGCTCTTGGGCCGTGAGGCAGCTCCTCTCCCAGGACTCTGTCCTGTCCTTATAGGGCTCTCGTGGGTGGGAAATACTGGGTTCAGTAGATAGGGCAGGAACGGCTGCTTCTTTGCCTGGCTTTGCTGAAGCTTGGAGGCTGTGGCCAGCTGTTCCTGCCTTGACAGATGGGAGAGGCCTGGCACCTACTCGAGGTCTCTGAGTTGACAATCACTTTCTCCTTCTTGCTCCTGGGGCTGTAGGGCCACGGAGCTTTCAGAAATCAGGACTTGGTCTTGTTCCCATCATTTGTGTCCCAGAGTGTTCTTAAAAGGATTTCTTTTTTCTTTTTTTAAAATTTTAAGTTCCAGGTACATGTGCAGGATGTGCAGTTTTGTTACATAGGTAAACGTGTGCCATGGTGGTTTGCTGCACCTATCAACCCATCACCGAGGTATTAAGCCACGCACGCATTAGCTATTTATCCGGATGCTCTCCCTCCCCCTGCCCACCCCACAATAGGCCCTAGTGTGTTTTGCTCCCCTCCCTGTGTCCATGTGTTCTCATTGTTCAGCTCCCACTTATAAGTTAGAACATGCAGTGTTTGGTTTTCTGTTCCTGTGCTGGTTTGCTGAAGATAATGGCTTCCAGTTCCATCCATGTCTCTCTCAGGGACATAATCTCATTTCTTTATATGGCTGCATAGTATTCCATGGTGTATATGTGCCACATTTTCTTTATCCAGTCTACCATTGATGGGCATTTGGGTTGATTCCGTGTCTTTGCTATTGTGAATAGTGCTGCAATAAACATACGTGTGCATGCATTTTATAATAGAATGATTTATATTCCTTTGAGTATATATCCAGTAATGGGATTGCTGGGTCAAATGGTATTTCTGGTTCTAGATTCTTGAGGAATCGCCACACTGTCTTCCACAATGGTTCAACAAATTTGCATTCCCACCAACAGTGTAAAAGCATTCCTATTTCTCCACATCCTCGCCAGCATCTGTTGTTTCTTGACTTTTTTTTTTTTTTATTTTTAGACAGAATCTTACTGTGTTGCCAAGGCTGGAGTGCAGTGGCGCGATCTCAGCTCACTGCAACCTCCACCTCCCGGGTTCAAGCGATCCTTCCACCTCAGCCTCCCAAGTAGCTGGGAGTACAGGCGTGTGCCACCTCGTCCAGCTAATTTTTGTAAGTTTTAGTAGAGACGGGGTTTCACCATGTTGGCCAGGCTGGTCTCAAACTTCTGACCTTAGTGATCTGTCCCCCTCGGCCTCCCAAAGGGCTGGGATTACAGGCATGAGCCATCGTGCGCAGCCTGTTTCTTGACTTTAATAATTGCCATTCTGACTGGTGTGAGATAGTATCTCATTGTGGTTTTGATTTGCATTTCTTTAATGATCAGTGATGTTGAGCTTTTTTTTCATGTTTATTGGCTGCATAAATGTCTTTTTCTGAGAAGCGTCTGTTCATACAGAAAGAATTTCTTGACACCAATATTGTCCAGGGTATCAAAGGCCCTGGGCTGCTCCACTCCACCTCATGCAGGACCCTCTCCCTGGGCTTCTTGCCAGGGTGTGTGAGGCCCCAGTGCTTCCTAAAAGGCCCATTGTGACCAGAGATCCAAGGAGCTACATCTGAGAAGCATGCATGGCTCTGTGTTGCTGAAGGCATGGTTAAGCTAGGAGAAACTACATTTTCCCAAATGACGGGGACAAAAATGGAATGATCTTGTTGGGGAAAGAGTGTGCTTGGAAGGAACCCCTGGAACAGCAGGTTGGGGACCAGAGTGCTTGTCTAGAGGGGGCCCCAGCAGCCACGCCTCCCTTCTACCCTCTCCCTCCCCCAGCAGCCCAGGGACTAAGCTGTTAGAGTCCAAATTCATTTATTTTCACGTAGCTATCCAGTCTCCCAACATCATTTGTTGTAAAGACAATTCTCCATTGAATTATCTTGATACCCTTCTTGAAAATCAGTAGATCATAAATATATGAGTTTATTTCTCGATACTCTCAATTATATTCCATTATCCATGACTTATAGTAGTCAGCTAATGATTAGAAAGAGCTTTCCTTGAACACCTGATACCAAAATATCTCCCAGTCTTTGCAGATGGGCTTTTTGTAGGTGTTGGGACAGATCTTCAACATTCAGCCAGGTGGTTTGCAATTGTGCCTTAGCCCTCACCTGCTTGAACAGAGCCTGAGGGGAAGGTCACCCTGACATGGAATTTTAGAGCCTTATCAGGTCTTTTCTGAGCATGCGTACCACTTTAGGTGTGTGGCCTTCTAGATTTCCAGGAATCTATGAGAAGTTTTCAAAGTCCTTATTGCCCGAAGGAACTCATTCCCCTAGGCTTTCCATCCAAGTGCATTAGTTAGTCTATTGTATGCCTTGACTGTTAGCAATTGCTGCCTGCTGTGTTAGCTTGGCTGAGTTCCAAGTTAGATGAGCTAAGGGCAGGCCTTTTGAGCTGGTCTTCCAGGGACAGAACCAATAATTACAATTCTTTGTGTTCCCATTCTGCTCCCTCTGGGACAGTTTGTAATACTGGGAATACAGGCTGTTATTTTCAAGGCTACTGCTGAGCTGGGGAGAGGAGGATGAGACCAGAGTCAGTTAAAATGTCACAGAGACCCCCTGCTCTTACCAGGATGCAACTGTTTTACTAGCTTAGACACTCTCCTGATTACTATAAGCTTTTGATTAGTTTCCAGAATTCTGAAAAAGTTGGCTGAGTGTGGTGGCCCACATCTGTAATCCCAGCACTTTGGAAAGCTGAGGTGGAAGAGTCACTTGCCGCCAGGAGTTTGAGACTAGCTTGGGCAACATAGTGACAGCCTGTCTCTATAAAGAAAAAAAAAAAAAAAGAATCCTGAGAAAGTTAATTCTTACAGTATTTTTCATTGATTTTAGGGAGGCACAGGCTTTTGGAGTTTCTTATTCCACCATTTTCACTGATGCCACCATCACACCCATCTTGTATTAAAAGAGGGCCTCCAAATTTTTTTTTTTTTTGAGATGTGGGCTTGCTCTGTCGCCCAGACTGGAGTGCAGTGGCACGATCTCAGCTCACTGCAACCTCCGCCCCCCGGATTCAAGTGATTCTTCTGCCTCATCCTCCTGAGTAGCTGGGACTACAGGTACGCGCCACCATGCCCGGCTAATTTTTGTATTTGTAGTGGAGACCAGGTTTCGCCATATTGGCCAGGCTGGTTTTGAATTCCTGACCTCGTGATCCGCCCACCTCTGCCTCCCAAAGTGCTGGGATTACAAGCGTGAGCCACCATGCCCAGCCTAAAAAAGGACCTCCAAATTTTACATGCTTCAAGCGCCACAAAACCTGGATCCACCCCTGGGTGAGGTTATAAGAGGAGGACTCAGTCAGCTTTGGGTATGACCTCATTATATGGTTGCACTTTGATTATCTCTGGGCATATGGGCAACTGAAGCTTCTAGGTTGAGGTGACAAAGTATTTTGCAAAGCTGGGAAAAGGAAACTTCCTTCATTTCTGCATGGATCCCAGCACCTCCCAGCACTTTGAGGACTGGAAGCTTTGGAAACACTGCAGGCAGCATCCTTGGATACATTGGCGTTTTCATAGGAGTGAGGGGCCTCCGCTGCAGTGTCATGGGTATAGGGCAGTGGTTGGCAAACTGCAGCCAGTGGGAAAACCTGGCCTGCTCCCTGTCTTTGTTTTATGGCCTGTGAGCTAAGAACGTTTTTTACATTTCAAAAAGATTGGGGGAAAAAAAGCAAAAAAAGAATAATATTTTATGACATACAAAAATTATATGAAATTAAAATGGAAATCTCATTGTTCATAAATAAAGTTTTATTGAGAAACTTGCCACACTCATTTGTTGACATATCGTCGATGGCTGCTTTCTCACAGAGTTGAGTCACTGTGACAGGGACTGTGTGCACAGCAAAGAGTAAAATATTGACTACCTGGTATTTTCAGAAAAAGCTACTGACTCTTGGCATTGGGCACAGATGGGGAGAATTGGGGCAGGAGAAAGAGCAGAGGAGATGCCATACATAGAATGAGGCTGGCAGGCTGGCTTTCAGCACAGGTAAGACATTTCCTGAGAAGTCCCTGAAACACTTCAGAAGACTTTGCAGGGGACTGGAGGTCACGTATGATCAAGGTGAGTAAGAGCAGGAAGCGTGAGTTTTCGACGTCAACATAACTTCATCCATCTCCGTAGGAGAATGGGACATAAGCATTTTCATATTATTCTCATGAATACTTTTGTGGGAGAATCATCAGCCACATTTTACAGCTGTCCTGGTTTATAGATGGCTCATACAGGATGATACTGGTAAACAATAAGCAGGTTATGTTATTACCACTTCCTTGGAGACTGGAAGCAGCCTCTTTGCTTTAGCTACTTCAGTCCAGCAGACAGAGCTATTTGCCCTCATTTGAGCCTGCTTCCTTGCCAAGAGAAAAACCGCTAACATTTATACAGATAGTAGATATGCATTCAAACTTGCTCATGATTTTGAAAGATTGTGGAAGCAGAGATGTTTTCTTGTTTTAATTTTATTTTCTCATTTTCTTTAAACATTTTTAAAAAATTTAATTAAAAAGCTTTTTTTTTTTAACTTTAAAGATCAGATTTATTTGGAGAAAACAAAAAACCCACAACCCAAACGATGGGATTTTACATCTAAGGACATCTCCCAGATATTAAGTCTACAGATTACAAATCTTTTCATAGAAGATATTTTTGCACAAAGTTTACATGTATTAAGGAGTGGGACATAAATCAATTCCCATTTGTATTTTTGTTTTGTTTTGTTTTGTTTGAAACAGGGTCTCGCTCTGTCATCCAGGCTGGAGTACAATGGTGTGACCTCGGCTCACTGCAACCTCCGCCTCCTGGGTTCAAGCGATTCTCGTGCCTCACCCACCCAAGTTGCTGGGATTACAGGCGTGCACCACTAGGCACAGCTAATTTTTGTATTTTTGGTAGAGATGTTGGCCAGGCTGGTCTCAGACTCCTGGCCTCATGTAATCTGCTCGCCTCGGCCTCCCAAAGTGCTGGGATTACAAGCATGAGCCACCATGCCTGGCCCCTGTTTCTATTTTAACAGAGGGCCAACATACGGGAGTGAGAATAATTTTTAAATTTTTGAATCAGAAAAGCCTCCTGAGCCAGTGTAGGCTCAGGGCCTCCTTTCTTCTAATAGAGACAAAATAAATAATGAACCTCGTGTAAAAGACTTATTAGATGCAAAGCAGCTACCTGCTGCTCTGGCCATTATTAAGATTCCAGGACATTTGAAACTAGACTTCATGGAGGTTAGAGGAATACCACTTTGCTGATAATGCTACAAAGAGTGTTCCTCTTAGAGATCCTTCTGATCAAATCTCATGGCCTAGTTAGAAAAGTTTCCAAAAGATGATCTTAGAACAATTACTAAAGATGCACAGAATTGGGCACCAGAGGTCAAAAAACAAAATTGGAAAAATAATGGCTACTGGTTTGATGACTGGAAATAATTTTGGTCCAGGCATGGTGGCTCACGCCTGTAATCCTAGCACTTTGGGAGGCTTAGGTGGGAGGACTGCTTGAGCTCAGGAGTTTGAGACCAGCCTGGGCAACATAGCGAGACCCCCATCTCTCTCTCTCTTTTTTTTAACATTAAAATGTTTAAATTTAACAAGTAAAAGAAAGAAAAAATTCTGGTTTGGGCCAACTACTGTGCATGACTTCTGCCACTGAGCTACAGAAAAGATGGTCGTTTTTATGAAACAGTACTGGTAAGGAAATGTTAATGGAGCTGCTAAAAAGTGCTTATGTGGCCTGCCCCACCTGTCTTCTTTAGGGTAGGGTTCATGCAACTTTAATTACAGGTTGAGTGCACTGTAACCTTTGTTTCCTGATAGCTGGGGTGATAAAACCGTTGCAAAGATTTCCTGGGTTCCTGATGTGCAGTTGCTTATGATGTACAAAGCATCCATCCAACTGTTATTCCTCCCATATTGCTGTGGAATTGGGCAACAGAGATGTCTTTTTTTTCTCTTTTTTAAACAGGGTCTCACCCCATCACCTAAGCTGGAGGGCAATGGTGTGATTGTGGCTCATTGCAGCCTCGACCTCCTGGGCTCAAGCTATCCTCGATTCTCCCACCTTAGCCTGCTGAGTAACTAGGACTACAGGCATGCGTCATCACACTGGTATAATTTTTTAAATTTTTTTTTTGGTAGAGACCAATACAAGTCTGTAAGTATGAGCCATCTATAAACCAGGACAGCTGTAAAATGGGGCTGATGATTCTCCTATAAAGATGTTTATGAGAATAATATGAAAATCCTTATGTCCCATTCTCCCATGGAGATGAATGAAGTTATGTTGACATCAAAAACTCACGCTTCCTGCTCTTACCACCTTGATCATACGTGATCTCCAGGCCCCTGCAAAGTCATCTGAAATATTTCTTCTCAGGAAATGCCTTACCTGTGCTCAAAGCCAGCCTGCCAGCCTCAGTCGATGTATGGCATCTTCTCTGTTCTTTCTCCTGCCCCAATTCTTCCTGTCTGTGCCCAATGCCAAGGGTCAGTAGCTTTTTCTGAAAATACCAGCTAGTCAATATTTTAGGCTTTGCAGTGCACACAGTCCCTGTCACAGTGACTCAACTGTGCAAGAATGCAGCCATCGACAGTATGTCTAGCTATGTTGCCCAGGTCTAGCTATATTGCCCAGGCTGGTGTTGAACTTCTGGCCTCAAGTGATCCTCCTGCCTTGGCCTCCCAAAATTCTGGGATTACAGTTGTGAGTTCCCATGCCCAGTGCAACACGGTTTTCTATTAAAACCTCTCTTTCCTTGATCTTTCCTGGGCTGTGTTGGCAAACAGCTCCTGCAAACTCCCTGTTCCAGGGTCTGAGTTGATGGGTGCTGGCTAGATCAGTGAGGCCTCAGGTTTTTTTTCTTTTTGTTTTTGTTTTTAATACACTATGCCCTGGATTTTTGGCTGCTGGCTCATACTCCCTCTGGTGCCGTAATCATTAACTCCTGCAAGAAGCCCACAAGACAGACAGACATCAAAGCCCCTGTTTTGCTCAACAAGAGGCAGTGTCTGTTGAAGTCCTGAGATGGAGAGAGGTAAGGAAAGAGATGGCTGTGAGGGGTGGTAGGGCAAGGGACCAACGATGGGGTGCCTGGGCTGAGGCTGCGAAGGGAGATTAGTCTGTGGAGAACAGAGTCCCTGATTGCTGGCTGTATGATTGGCTCTGGCATCTTCATGTCACCACAGGGGGTCTTGGTCCACATGGGCAATCCTGGGGCCAGTCTTATGGGTGGGCTGTGGCCTCCTGGCCATGCTGGGCACCCTGTGCTATGCTGAGCTGGGTGCCTTGTTCCTGAATCTGGGGCAAGTATACCTACATCTTATGAAACTTTGGCTCCTTGCCAGCCTTCCTGGTCATCTTCACATATTTGCTGGTGGCCAGACTAGCTACCATTGCTTCTGTTTCTCTGAGCTTTGCTGAGCATGCAATGGTTCCCTTTTACCCTGGCTGTGCCTCACTGCCCCCTGCTGTGCTCAAGAATGTGGCTGTCACCAGCATCCTCCTGCTGATGGTGGCTAACTGCTGGAGCTTGAAGCTGGCCACCATGCTGACAAATGTGTGCATGGCTACCAAAGTATTCTCATTGCTGGTCATCCTTGGAGCGGGGGTGGTGTTGGGCCAGGGCCACATATGCACGGAAGCCCTTCTGTCTGCCTTCCACCACATGATGCTGCAGGCGGGGCACATTGGCATGGCCTTCTAGCCTTCTACCAGGGCCTGTGGTCTTTTTTTTCTTTTTTTTTTTCCTTTTGAGATGGAGTCTCGCTCTGTTGCCCAGGCTGGAGTGCAGTGGCACAATCTAGCCTCACTGCAACCTCCGCCTCTCGGGTTCAATCGATTCTCCTGCCTCAGCCTCCCGAGTAGCTGGGATTACAGGCTCAGACCACCATACCCAGGTAATTTTTGTGTTTTTAGTACAGACAGGGTTTCATCATGTTGGCCAGGCTGGTCTCAAACTCCTGACCTCAAATGATCTGCCCACCTCAACCTCCCCAAATGCTGGGATTACAGGCATGAGCCACCACACTCGGCCTGCCTGTGGTCCTTCGGTGGCTGGAATAGCATCAACTATGTGATGGAGGAGATCCAGAATCCACATATGAGCCCATAAAGTCACTTCTGGGGGTAAAATCTCTGAACTTCAGCAACTCCAATAATTGGAGCTGCAATCATCCAGATTTGGGGTGATTAAGACTATGAGCAATCCAGCTGGAAATAAGGGCTCCCCTCCTGCATGCTGGCACTTGCATGCTAGTCCACTGACCATCCCAATTAGTTTATGTAATTATAGAAATAATCACTTTGCAAATAAGCAGAGAACTTTCTAGTAATATACCCACGGTCTCCATTTTCTGCTCTGCGAGGTGGGCATTATGAGCTCATTTTTCACAGGGGAAACAGGTTTGGAAAGGGAAAATGATTTTGCGGTCACACTGCCTGTAAGAGACCATGCTCAATGCCTCAGCTCTATGTCTATCTCCTGGATCATCCTCTCCAGAACACTGCAGCAGGTAGTTAATTCACAGTTGTCAGAGCCTGGGGGCTACTATGGGACATAGCACACTTTGGACAGGGGAAGACCCAATCCTACCTGGCTCACCCCACTTGTGGGACCTGGGCTGACTAGTCCCTGCCCTGGTGGGGACGGTCTTCAGGACAGCTTGGGATTCAGGTGAAGCATTTGGATCTTTGGTTACTGCAGATATTAACTCTTTCCTATTTTAAATATATTTGCCTGGGATATTATTTGTTTTATTTTTTTCCCTGTGGAAGTTTTAAATTCTCACAAAGTGAAAACTTCGTGTCTTTTCCTCTCTGTCCTCTGGGCTGGCTTAAGGGCCATTACAGCTCTCGCAGTCTTGGCAAAGGCTACTTGGAGTGGGGTTTGGGAGATGTTGAGAGAAGATGAGCAGCTTGGAGATAAGTCCATGTGCAGAGAGAGAGCCAGGGAGAGAGCCAGGAGTTCTGGGACCTGGTTTTAATTTTTGCATGTAATTCCTTGAGCGTCAGTTCTTTGCCTATAAAATGGGATTGTAATAGCTGCCCTGCCTACCTCACAAGGCTTTGGGATTTCAATGACAATCACCTTTGGACGGCTAGGCCTCTGAGTGCCTTAAACAGGTCTACAGGTGCACCTCTTAGGTGAATGGTTCCCTGTGGTCAGGTTGGTTCTGGGGGTAAC